>NC_000017.11:26404983-26566633 GCF_000001405.40 Homo sapiens
GGACCTCTCCGAAGATGTCTTTGGAAACGGGAATATCTTCACATAAAAACTAAACAGAAGCATTCTCAGAAACTTCTTGGTGATGTTTGCATTCAAATCCCAGAGTTGAACCTTCCTTTGATAGTTCAGGTTTGAAACACTCTTTCTGTAGGATCTGCAAGTGGCTATTTGGACCACTCTGTGGCCTTCGTTCGAAACGGGTATATCTTCGCATAAAATCTAGACAGAAGCATTCTCAGAAAATACTTTGTGATGATTGAGTTGAACTCACAGAGCTGAACATTCCTTTGGATGGAGCAGCTTTGAGACACACTTTTTGTAGAATCTACAAGTGGATATTTGGACCTCTCTGAGGATTTCGTTGGAAACGGGATAACTGCACCTAACTAAACGGAAGCATTCTCAGAAACTGCTTTGTGATGATTGCATTCACCTCACAGAGTTGAACATTCCTATTGATAGAGCAGTTTGGAAACACTCTTGTTGTGGAATGTGCAAGTGGAGATTTGGAGCGCTTTGAGGCCTATGGTAGTAAAGGGAATAGCTTCATAGAAAAAGTAGACAGATGCATTCTCAGGAACTTTTTGGTGATGTTTGTATTCAACTCCCAGAGTTGAACTTTCCTTTGGAAAGAGCAGCTATGAAACACTCTTTTTCTAGAATCTGCAAGTGGACGTTTGGAGGGCTTTGTGGTTTGTGGTGGAAAAGGAAATATCTTCACCGAAATACTAGAGAGAAGCATTCTCAGAAGCTTCTCTGTGATGACTGCATTCAACTCACGGAGTTGAACACTCCTTTTGAGAGCGCAGTTTTGAAACTCTCTTTCTGTGGCATCTGCAAGGGGACATGTAGACCTCTTTGAAGATTTCGTTGGAAACGGAATCATCTTCACATAAAAACTATACAGAAGCAGTCTCAGAATCTTCTTTGTGATGTTTGCATTCAAATCCCAGAGTTGAACTTTCCTTTCAAAGTTCACGTTTGAAACACTCTTTTTGCAGGATCTACAAGTGGATATTTGGACCACTCTGTGTCCTTCGTTCGAAACGGGTATATCTTCACAGGACATCTAGACAGAAGCTTTCTCAGAAAATTCTTTGGGATGATTGAGTGGAACTCACAGAGCTGAACATTCCTTGCGATGTAGCAGTTTAGAAACACACTTTCTGCAGAATCTGCAAGTGCATATTTGGACCTCTCTGAGGAATTCGTTGGAAACGGGATAATTTCAGCTGACTAAACAGAAGCATTCTCAGAACCTTCTTCGTGATGTCTGCATTCAACTCACAGTGTGGAACCTTTCTTTGATAGTTCAGGTTTGAAACACTCTTTTTGTAGAAACTGCAAGGGGATAATTGCACTTCTTTGAGGCCTACCGTAGTAAAGGAAATAACTTCCTATAGAAAGAAGACAGAAGCATTCTCAGAACCCTCTTCGTGATGTTTGCATTCAACTCACAGTGCTGAACCTTTCTTTGATAGTTCAGCTTTGAAACACTCTTTTTGTAGAAACTGCAAGTGGATATTTGGTCCTCTCTGAGGATTTCGTTGGAAACGGGATAAACTGCACAGAACTAAACAGAAGCATTCTCAGAACCTTCTTCGTGATGTTTGCATTCAACTCACAGTGTTGAACCTTTCTTTGATAGTTCAGGTTTGAAACGGTCTTTCTGTAGAAACTGCAAGTAGATATTTGGACCTCTCTGAGGATTTCGTTGGAAACGGGATAACCCGCACAGAACTAAAACAGAAGCATTCACAGAAAACTCTTGGTGACGACTGAGTTTAACTCACAGAGCTGAACATTCCTTTGGATGGAGCAGTTTCGAAACACACTATTTGTAGAATGTGCAAGTGGATATTTGGGCCTCTCTGAGGATTTCGTTGGAAACGGGATAAACCGCACAGAACTAAACAGAAGCATTCTCAGAAACTACTTTGTGATGATTGCATTCAAGTCACAGAGTTGAACATTCCCTTTGACAGAGCAGTTTGGAAACTCTCTTTGTGTAGAATCTGCAAGTGGAGATATGGACCGCTTTGAGGCCTATGGTAGTAAAGGAAATAGCTTCATATAAAAGCTAGACGGTAGCATTCTCAGAAACTTCTTTGTGATGCTTGCATTCAACTCACAGAGTTGAACTTTCCTTTCGAGAGAGAAGCTTTGAAACACTCTTTTTCCAGAATCTGCAAGTGGACATTTGGAGGGCTTTGAGGCCTGTGGTGGAAAAGGAATTAACTTCCCGTAAAAGCTAGATAGAAGCATTGTCAGAAACTTCTTTGTGATGATTGCATTCAACTCACAGAGTTGAAGGTTCCTTTTCAAACAGCAGTTTCCAATCACTCTTTCTGTGGAATCTGCAAGTGGATATTTGGGCCTCTCTGAGGATTTCGTTGGAAACGGGATAAAACGCACAGAACTAAAACAGAAGCATTCTCAGAAACTTCTCTGTGATGTTTGTGTTCAACTCCCAGAGTTTCACGTTGCTTTTCATAGAGTAGTTCTGAAACATGCTTTTCGTAGTGTCTGCAAGTGGACATTTGGAGCGCTTTCAGGCCTGTGGTGGAAAACGAATTATGGTCACATAAAAACTGGAGAGAAGCCTTCTCAGAAACTTCTCTGTGATGATTGCATTCAACTCACAGAGTTGAACCCTCCTATGGATAGAGCAGTGTTGAAACTCTCTTTTTGTGGAATCTGCAAGTGGATATGTGGACCTCTCCGAAGATGTCTTTGGAAACGGGAATATCTTCACATAAAAACTAAACAGAAGCATTCTCAGAAACTTCTTGGTGATGTTTGCATTCAAATCCCAGAGTTGAACCTTCCTTTGATAGTTCAGGTTTGAAACACTCTTTTTGTAGGATCTGCAAGTGGATATTTGGACCACTCTGTGGCCTTCGTTCGAAACGGGTATATCTTCGCATAAAATCTAGACAGAAGCATTCTCAGAAAATACTTTGTGATGATTGAGTTGAACTCACAGAGCTGAACATTCCTTTGGATGGAGCAGGTTTGAGACACACTTTTTGTAGAATCTACAAGTGGATATTTGGACCTCTCTGAGGATTTCGTTGGAAACGGGATAACTGCACCTAACTAAACGGAAGCATTCTCAGAAACTGCTTTGTGATGATTGCATTCACCTCACAGAGTTGAACATTCCTATTGATAGAGCAGTTTGGAAACACTCTTGTTGTGGAATGTGCAAGTGGAGATTTGGAGCGCTTTGAGGCCTATGGTAGTAAAGGGAATAGCTTCATAGAAAAACTAGACAGATGCATTCTCAGGAACTTTTTGGTGATGTTTGTATTCAACTCCCAGAGTTGAACTTTCCTTTGGAAAGAGCAGCTATGAAACACTCTTTTTCTAGAATCTGCAAGTGGACGTTTGGAGGGCTTTGTGGTTTGTGGTGGAAAAGGAAATATCTTCACCTAAATACTAGATAGAAGCATTCTCAGAAGCTTCTCTGTGATGACTGCATTCAACTCACGGAGTTGAACACTCCTTTTGAGAGCGCAGTTTTGAAACTCTCTTTCTGTGGCATCTGCAAGGGGACATGTAGACCTCTTTGAAGATTTCGTTGGAAACGGAATCATCTTCACATAAAAACTATACAGAAGCAGTCTCAGAATCTTCTTTGTGATGTTTGCATTCAAATCCCAGAGTTGAACTTTCCTTTCAAAGTTCACGTTTGAAACACTCTTTTTGCAGGATCTACAAGTGGATATTTGGACCACTCTGTGTCCTTCGTTCGAAACGGGTATATCTTCACACGACATCTAGACAGAAGCTTTCTCAGAAAATTCTTTGGGATGATTGAGTGGAACTCACAGAGCTGAACATTCCTTGCGATGTAGCAGTTTAGAAACACACTTTCTGCAGAATCTGCAAGTGCATATTTGGACCTCTCTGAGGAATTCGTTGGAAACGGGATAATTTCAGCTGACTAAACAGAAGCATTCTCAGAACCTTCTTCGTGATGTCTGCATTCAACTCACAGTGTGGAACCTTTCTTTGATAGTTCAGGTTTGAAACACTCTTTTTGTAGAAACTGCAAGGGGATAATTGCACTCTTTGAGGAGTACCGTAGTAAAGGAAATAACTTCCTATAAAAAGAAGACAGAAGCATTCTCAGAACCCTCTTCGTGATGTTTGCATTCAACTCACAGTGCTGAACCTTTCTTTGATAGTTCAGCTTTGAAACACTCTTCTTGTAGAAACTGCAAGTGGATATTTGGTCCTCTCTGAGGATTTCGTTGGAAACGGGATAAACCGCACAGAACTAAACAGAAGCATTCTCAGAACCTTCTTCGTGATGTTTGCATTCAACTCACAGTGTTGAACCTTTCTTTGATAGTTCAGGTTTGAAACGGTCTTTCTGTAGAAACTGCAAGTAGATATTTGGACCTCTCTGAGGATTTCGTTGGAAACGGGATAAACCGCACACAACTAAAACAGAAGCATTCACAGAAAACTCTTGGTGACGACTGAGTTTAACTCACAGAGCTGAACATTCCTTTGGATGGAGCAGTTTCGAAACACACTATTTGTAGAATGTGCAAGTGGATATTTGGGCCTCTCTGAGGATTTCGCTGGAAACGGGATAAACCGCACAGAACTAAACAGAAGCATTCTCAGAAACTACTTTGTGATGATTGCATTCAAGTCACAGAGTTGAACATTCCCTTTGACAGAGCAGTTTGGAAACTCTCTTTGTGTAGAATCTGCAAGTGGAGATATGGACCGCTTTGAGGCCTATGGTAGTAAAGGAAATAGCTTCATATAAAAGCTAGACAGTAGCATTCTCAGAAACTTCTTTGTGATGCTTGCATTCAACTCACAGAGTTGAACTTTCCTTTCGAGAGAGAAGCTTTGAAACACTCTTTTTCCAGAATCTGCAAGTGGACATTTGGAGGGCTTTGAGGCCTGTGGTGGAAAAGGAATTATCTTCCCGTAAAAGCTAGATAGAAGCATTGTCAGAAACTTCTTTGTGATGATTGCATTCAACTCACAGAGTTGAAGGTTCCTTTTCAAACAGCAGTTTCCAATCACTCTTTCTGTGGAATCTGCAAGTGGATATTTGGGCCTCTCTGAGGATTTCGTTGGAAACGGGATAAAACGCACAGAACTAAAACAGAAGCATTCTCAGAAACTTCTCTGTGATGTTTGTGTTCAACTTCCAGAGTTTCACATTGCTTTTCATAGAGTAGTTCTGAAACATGCTTTTCGTAGTGTCTGCAAGTGGACATTTGGAGCGCTTTCAGGCCTGTGGTGGAAAACGAATTATGGTCACATAAAAACTGGAGAGAAGCCTTCTCAGAAACTTCTCTGTGATGATTGCATTCAACTCACAGAGTTGAACCCTCCTATGGATAGAGCAGTGTTGAAACTCTCTTTTTGTGGAATCTGCAAGTGGATATGTGGACCTCTCCGAAGATGTCTTTGGAAACGGGAATATCTTCACATAAAAACTAAACAGAAGCATTCTCAGAAACTTCTTGGTGATGTTTGCATTCAAATCCCAGAGTTGAACCTTCCTTTGATAGTTCAGGTTTGAAACACTCTTTCTGTAGGATCTGCAAGTGGCTATTTGGACCACTCTGTGGCCTTCGTTCGAAACGGGTATATCTTCGCATAAAATCTAGACAGAAGCATTCTCAGAAAATACTTTGTGATGATTGAGTTGAACTCACAGAGCTGAACATTCCTTTGGATGGAGCAGGTTTGAGACACACTTTTTGTAGTATCTACAAGTGGATATTTGGACCTCTCTGAGGATTTCGTTGGAAACGGGATAACTGCAGCTAACTAAACGGAAGCATTCTCAGAAACTGCTTTGTGATGATTGCATTCACCTCACAGAGTTGAACATTCCTATTGATAGAGCAGTTTGGAAACACTCTTGCTGTGGAATGTGCAAGTGGAGATTTGGAGCGCTTTGAGGCCTATGGTAGTAAAGGAAATAGCTTCATAGAAAAACTAGACAGATGCATTCTCAGGAACTTTTTGGTGATGTTTGTATTCAACTCCCAGAGTTGAACTTTCCTTTGGAAAGAGCAGCTATGAAACACTCTTTTTCTAGAATCTGCAAGTGGACGTTTGGAGGGCTTTGTGGTTTGTGGTGGAAAAGGAAATATCTTCACCTAAATACTAGATAGAAGCATTCTCAGAAGCTTCTCTGTGATGACTGCATTCAACTCACGGAGTTGAACACTCCTTTTGAGAGCGCAGTTTTGAAACTCTCTTTCTGTGGCATCTGCAAGGGGACATGTAGACCTCTTTGAAGATTTCGTTGGAAACGGAATCATCTTCACATCAAAACTATACAGAAGCAGTCTCAGAATCTTCTTTGTGATGTTTGCATTCAAATCCCAGAGTTGAACTTTCCTTTCCAAGTTCACGTTTGAAACACTCTTTTTGCAGGATCTGCAAGTGGATATTTGGACCACTCTGTGTCCTTCGTTCGAAACGGGTATATCTTCACATGACATCTAGACAGAAGCTTTCTCAGAAAATTCTTTGGGATGATTGAGTTGAACTCACAGAGCTGAGCATTCCTTGCGATGTAGCAGTTTAGAAACACACTTTCTGCAGAATCTGCAAGTGCATATTTGGACCTCTGTGAGGAATTCGTTGGAAACGGGATAATTTCAGCTGACTAAACAGAAGCATTCTCAGAACCTTCTTCGTGATGTCTGCATTCAACTCACAGTGTGGAACCTTTCTTTGATAGTTCAGGTTTGAAACACTCTTTTTGTAGAAACTGTAAGGGGATAATTGCACTTCTTTGAGGCCTACCGTAGTAAAGGAAATAACTTCCTATAAAAAGAAGACAGAAGCATTCTCAGAACCCTCTTCGTGATGTTTGCATTCAACTCACAGTGCTGAACCTTTCTTTGATAGTTCAGCTTTGAAACACTCTTCTTGTAGAAACTGCAAGTGGATATTTGGTCCTCTCTGAGGATTTCGTTGGAAACGGGATAAACCGCACAGAACTAAACAGAAGCATTCTCAGAACCTTCTTCGTGATGTTTGCATTCAACTCACAGTGTTGAACCTTTCTTTGATAGTTCAGGTTTGAAACGGTCTTTGTGTAGAGACTGCAAGTAGATATTTGGACCTCTCTGAGGATTTCGTTGGAAACGGGATAAACCGCACAGAACTAAAACAGAAGCATTCACAGAAAACTCTTGGTGACGACTGAGTTTAACTCACAGAGCTGAACATTCCTTTGGATGGAGCAGTTTCGAAACACACTATTTGTAGAATGTGCAAGTGGATATTTAGGCCTCTCTGAGGATTTCGTTGGAAACGGGATAAACCGCACAGAACTAAACAGAAGCATTCTGAGAAACTACTTTGTGATGATTGCATTCAAGTCACAGAGCTGAACATTCCCTTTGACAGAGCAGTTTGGAAACTCTCTTTGTGTAGAATCTGCAAGTGGAGATATGGAATGCTTTGAGGACTATGGTAGTAAAGGAAATAGCTTCATAGACAAGCTAGACAGTAGCATTCTCAGAAACTTATTCGTGATGTTTGCATTGAACTCATAGAGTTGAACTTTCCTTTTGAGAGAGAAGCTTTGAAACACTCTTTTTCTAGAATCTGCAAGTGGACATTTGGAGGGCTTTGAGGCCTGTGTTGGAAAAGGAAATATCTTCCCGTAAAAACTAGAGAGAAGCATTGTCAGAAACTTCTTTGTGATGATTGCATTCAACTCACAGTAGTTGAAGGTTCCTTTTCAAAGAGCAGTTTCCAATCACTCTTTCTGTGGAATCTGCAAGTGGATATTTGGACCTATTTTGAAGATTTCGTTGGAAACGGGAGAATCTTCACAGGAAAGCTAAACAGAAGCATTCTCAGAAACTTCTCTGTGATGTTTGTGTTCAACTCCCAGAGTTTCATATTGCTTCTCATAGAGTAGTTCTGAAACATGCTTTTCGTAGTGTCTGCAAGTGGACATTTGGAGCGCTTTCAGGCCTGTGGTGGAAAACGAATTATGGTCACATAAAAACTGGAGAGAAGCCTTCTCAGAAACTTCTCTGTGATGATTGCATTCAACTCACAGAGTTGAACCCTCCTATGGATAGAGCAGTGTTGAAACTCTCTTTTTGTGGAATCTGCAAGTGGATATGTGGACCTCTCCGAAGATGTCTTTGGAAACGGGAATATCTTCACATAAAAACTAAACAGAAGCATTCTCAGAAACTTCTTGGTGATGTTTGCATTCAAATCCCAGAGTTGAACCTTCCTTTGATAGTTCAGGTTTGAAACACTCTTTTTGTAGGATCTGCAAGTGGATATTTGGACCACTCTGTGGCCTTCGTTCGAAACGGGTATATCTTCGCATAAAATCTAGACAGAAGCATTCTCAGAAAATACTTTGTGATGATTGAGTTTAAATCACAGAGCTGACCATTCCTTTGGATGGAGCAGGTTTGAGACACACTTTTTGTAGAATCTACAAGTGGATATTTGGACCTCTCTGAGGATTTCGTTGGAAACGGGATAACTGCACCTAACTAAACGGAAGCATTCTCAGAAACTGCTTTGTGATGATTGCATTCACCTCACAGAGTTGAACATTCCTATTGATAGAGCAGTTTGGAAACACTCTTGTTGTGGAATGTGCAAGTGGAGATTTGGAGCGCTTTGAGGCCTGTGGTAGTAAAGGGAATAGCTTCATAGAAAAACTAGACAGATGCATTCTCAGGAACTTTTTGGTGATGTTTGTATTCAACTCCCAGAGTTGAACTTTCCTTTGGAAAGAGCAGCTATGAAACACTCTTTTTCTAGAATCTGCAAGTGGACGTTTGGAGGGCTTTGTGGTTTGTGGTGGAAAAGGAAATATCTTCACCTAAATACTAGATAGAAGCATTCTCAGAAGCTTCTCTGTGATGACTGCATTCAACTCACGGAGTTGAACACTCCTTTTGAGAGCGCAGTTTTGAAACTCTCTTTCTGTGGCATCTGCAAGGGGACATGTAGACCTCTTTGAAGATTTCGTTGGAAACGGAATCATCTTCACATAAAAACTATACAGAAGCAGTCTCAGAATCTTCTTTGTGATGTTTGCATTCAAATCCCAGAGTTGAACTTTCCTTTCAAAGTTCACGTTTGAAACACTCTTTTTGCAGGATCTACAAGTGGATATTTGGACCACTCTGTGTCCTTCGTTCGAAACGGGTATATCTTCACACGACATCTAGACAGAAGCTTTCTCAGAAAATTCTTTGGGATGATTGAGTTGAACTCACAGAGCTGAGCATTCCTTGCGATGTAGCAGTTTAGAAACACACTTTCTGCAGAATCTGCAAGTGCATATTTGGACCTCTGTGAGGAATTCGTTGGAAACGGGATAATTTCAGCTGACTAAACAGAAGCATTCTCAGAACCTTCTTCTTGATGTCTGCATTCAACTCACAGTGTGGAACCTTTCTTTGATAGTTCAGGTTTGAAACACTCTTTTTGTAGAAACTTCAAGGGGATAATTGCACTTCTTTGAGGCCTACCGTAGTAAAGGAAATAACTTCCTATAAAAAGAAGACAGAAGAATTCTCAGAGCCCTCTTCGTGATGTTTGCATTCAACTCACAGTGCTGAACCTTTCTTTGATAGTGCAGCTTTGAAACACTCTTTTTGTAGAAACTGCAAGTGGATATTTGGTCCTCTCTGAGGATTTCGTTGGAAACGGGATAAACCGCACAGAACTAAACAGAAGCATTCTCAGAACCTTCTTCGTGATGTTTGCATTCAACTCACAGTGTTGAACCTTTCTTTGATAGTTCAGGTTTGAAACGGTCTTTCTGTAGAAACTGCAAGTAGATATTTGGACCTCTCTGAGGATTTCGTTGGAAACGGGATAACCCGCACAGAACTAAAACAGAAGCATTCACAGAAAACTCTTGGTGACGACTGAGTTTAACTCACAGAGCTGAACATTCCTTTGGATGGAGCAGTTTCGAAACACACTATTTGTAGAATGTGCAAGTGGATATTTAGGCCTCTCTGAGGATTTCGTTGGAAACGGGATAAACCGCACAGAACTAAACAGAAGCATTCTCAGAAACTACTTTGTGATGATTGCATTCAAGTCACAGAGTTGAACATTCCCTTTGACAGAGCAGTTTGGAAACTCTCTTTGTGTAGAATCTGCAAGTGGAGATATGGACCGCTTTGAGGCCTATGGTAGTAAAGGAAATAGCTTCATATAAAAGCTAGACAGTAGCATTCTCAGAAACTTCTTTGTGATGCTTGCATTCAACTCACAGAGTTGAACTTTCCTTTCGAGAGAGAAGCTTTGAAACACTCTTTTTCCAGAATCTGCAAGTGGACATTTGGAGGGCTTTGAGGCCTGTGGTGGAAAAGGAATTATCTTCCCGTAAAAGCTAGATAGAAGCATTGTCAGAAACTTCTTTGTGATGATTGCATTCAACTCACAGAGTTGAAGGTTCCTTTTCAAAGAGCAGTTTCCAATCACTCTTTCTGTGGAATCTGCAAGTGGATATTTGGACCTATTTTGAAGATTTCGTTGGAAACGGGAGAATCTTCACAGGAAAGCTAAACAGAAGCATTCTCAGAAACTTCTCTGTGATGTTTGTGTTCAACTCCCAGAGTTTCACATTGCTTTTCATAGAGTAGTTCTGAAACATGCTTTTCGTAGTGTCTACAAGTGGACATTTGGAGCGCTTTCAGGCCTGTGGTGGAAAACGAATTATGGTCACATAAAAACTGGAGAGAAGCCTTCTCAGAAACTTCTCTGTGATGATTGCATTCAACTCACAGAGTTGAACCCTCCTATGGATAGAGCAGTGTTGAAACTCTCTTTTTGTGGAATCTGCAA
Organism: Homo sapiens; assembly: GCF_000001405.40. Classification (NCBI taxonomy): domain Eukaryota; kingdom Metazoa; phylum Chordata; class Mammalia; order Primates; family Hominidae; genus Homo; species Homo sapiens. Next base: position 26,415,832 of record NC_000017.11, read on the forward strand.
GTGGATATGTGGACCTCTCCGAAGATGTCTTTGGAAACGGGAATATCTTCACATAAAAACTAAACAGAAGCATTCTCAGAAACTTCTTGGTGATGTTTGCATTCAAATCCCAGAGTTGAACCTTCCTTTGATAGTTCAGGTTTGAAACACTCTTTCTGTAGGATCTGCAAGTGGCTATTTGGACCACTCTGTGGCCTTCGTTCGAAACGGGTATATCTTCGCATAAAATCTAGACAGAAGCATTCTCAGAAAATACTTTGTGATGATTGAGTTTAAATCACAGAGCTGACCATTCCTTTGGATGGAGCAGGTTTGAGACACACTTTTTGTAGAATCTACAAGTGGATATTTGGACCTCTCTGAGGATTTCGTTGGAAACGGGATAACTGCACCTAACTAAACGGAAGCATTCTCAGAAACTGCTTTGTGATGATTGCATTCACCTCACAGAGTTGAACATTCCTATTGATAGAGCAGTTTGGAAACACTCTTGTTGTGGAATGTGCAAGTGGAGATTTGGAGCGCTTTGAGGCCTGTGGTAGTAAAGGGAATAGCTTCATAGAAAAACTAGACAGATGCATTCTCAGGAACTTTTTGGTGATGTTTGTATTCAACTCCCAGAGTTGAACTTTCCTTTGGAAAGAGCAGCTATGAAACACTCTTTTTCTAGAATCTGCAAGTGGACGTTTGGAGGGCTTTGTGGTTTGTGGTGGAAAAGGAAATATCTTCACCTAAATACTAGAGAGAAGCATTCTCAGAAGCTTCTCTGTGATGACTGCATTCAACTCACGGAGTTGAACACTCCTTTTGAGAGCGCAGTTTTGAAACTCTCTTTCTGTGGCATCCGCAAGGGGACATGTGGACCTCTTTGAAGATTTCGTTGGAAACGGAATCATCTTCACATAAAAACTATACAGAAGCAGTCTCAGAATCTTCTTTGTGATGTTTGCATTCAAATCCCAGAGTTGAACTTTTCTTTCAAAGTTCACGTTTGAAACACTCTTTTTGCAGGATCTACAAGTGGATATTTGGACCACTCTGTGTCCTTCGTTCGAAACGGGTATATCTTCACATGACATCTAGACAGAAGCTTTCTCAGAAAATTCTTTGGGATGATTGAGTAGAACTCACAGAGCTGAGCATTCCTTGCGATGTAGCAGTTTAGAAACACACTTTCTGCAGAATCTGCAAGTGCATATTTGGACCTCTGTGAGGAATTCGTTGGAAACGGGATAATTTCAGCTGACTAAACAGAAGCATTCTCAGAACCTTCTTCGTGATGTCTGCATTCAACTCACAGTGTGGAACCTTTCTTTGATAGTTCAGGTTTGAAACACTCTTTTTGTAGAAACTGCAAGGGGATAATTGCACTTCTTTGAGGCCTACCGTAGTAAAGGAAATAACTTCCTATAGAAAGAAGACAGAAGCATTCTCAGAACCCTCTTCGTGATGTTTGCATTCAACTCACAGTGCTGAACCTTTCTTTGATAGTTCAGCTTTGAAACACTCTTCTTGTAGAAACTACAAGTGGATATTTGGTCCTCTCTGAGGATTTCGTTGGAAACGGGATAAACCGCACAGAACTAAACAGAAGCATTCTCAGAACCTTCTTCGTGATGTTTGCATTCAACTCACAGTGTTGAACCTTTCTTTGATAGTTCAGGTTTGAAACGGTCTTTCTGTAGAAACTGCAAGTAGATATTTGGACCTCTCTGAGGATTTCGTTGGAAACGGGATAAACCGCACAGAACTAAAACAGAAGCATTCACAGAAAACTCTTGGTGACGACTGAGTTTAACTCACAGAGCTGAACATTCCTTTGGATGGAGCAGTTTCGAAACACACTATTTGTAGAATGTGCAAGTGGATATTTAGGCCTCTCTGAGGATTTCGTTGGAAACGGGATAAACCGCACAGAACTAAACAGAAGCATTCTCAGAAACTACTTTGTGATGATTGCATTCAAGTCACAGAGTTGAACATTCCCTTTGACAGAGCAGTTTGGAAACTCTCTTTGTGTAGAATCTGCAAGTGGAGATATGGACCGCTTTGAGGCCTATGGTAGTAAAGGAAATAGCTTCATATAAAAGCTAGACAGTAGCATTCTCAGAAACTTCTTTGTGATGCTTGCATTCAACTCACAGAGTTGAACTTTCCTTTCGAGAGAGAAGCTTTGAAACACTCTTTTTCCAGAATCTGCAAGTGGACATTTGGAGGGCTTTGAGGCCTGTGGTGGAAAAGGAATTATCTTCCCGTAAAAGCTAGATAGAAGCATTGTCAGAAACTTCTTTGTGATGATTGCATTCAACTCACAGAGTTGAAGGTTCCTTTTCAAACAGCAGTTTCCAATCACTCTTTCTGTGGAATCTGCAAGTGGATATTTGGGCCTCTCTGAGGATTTCGTTGGAAACGGGATAAAACGCACAGAACTAAAACAGAAGCATTCTCAGAAACTTCTCTGTGATGTTTGTGTTCAACTCCCAGAGTTTCACATTGCTTTTCATAGTGTAGTTCTGAAACATGCTTTTCGTAGTGTCTGCAAGTGGACATTTGGAGCGCTTTCAGGCCTGTGGTGGAAAACGAATTATGGTCACATAAAAACTGGAGAGAAGCCTTCTCAGAAACTTCTCTGTGATGATTGCATTCAACTCACAGAGTTGAACCCTCCTATGGATAGAGCAGTGTTGAAACTCTCTTTTTGTGAAATCTGCAAGTGGATATGTGGACCTCTCCGAAGATGTCTTTGGAAACGGGAATATCTTCACATAAAAACTAAACAGAAGCATTCTCAGAAACTTCTTGGTGATGTTTGCATTCAAATCCCAGAGTTGAACCTTCCTGTGATAGTTCAGGTTTGAAACACTCTTTTTGTAGGATCTGCAAGTGGATATTTGGACCACTCTGTGGCCTTCGTTCGAAACGGGTACATCTTCACATAAAATCTAGACAGAAGCATTCTCAGAAAATACTTTGTGATGATTGAGTTGAACTCACAGAGCTGAACATTCCTTTGGATGGAGCAGGTTTGAGACACACTTTTTGTAGAATCTACAAGTGGATATTTGGACCTCTCTGAGGATTTCGTTGGAAACGGGATAACTGCACCTAACTAAACGGAAGCATTCCCAGAAACTGCTTTGTGATGATTGCATTCACCTCACAGAGTTGAACATTCCTATTGATAGAGCAGTTTGGAAACACTCTTGTTGTGGAATGTGCAAGTGGAGATTTGGAGCGCTTTGAGGTCTATGGTAGTAAAGGGAATAGCTTCATAGAAAAACTAGACCGATGCATTCTCAGGAACTTTTTGGTGATGTTTGTATTCAACTCCCAGAGTTGAACTTTCCTTTGGAAAGAGCAGCTATGAAACACTCTTTTTCTAGAATCTGCAAGTGGACGTTTGGAGGGCTTTGTGGTTTGTGGTGGAAAAGGAAATATCTTCACCTAAATACTAGATAGAAGCATCCTCAGAAGCTTCTCTGTGATGACTGCATTCAACTCACGGAGTTGAACACTCCTTTTGAGAGCGCAGTTTTGAAACTCTCTTTCTGTGGCATCTGCAAGGGGACATGTAGACCTCTTTGAAGATTTCGTTGGAAACGGAATCATCTTCACATAAAAACTATACAGAAGGAGTCTCAGAATATTCTTTGTGATGTTTGCATTCAAATCCCAGAGTTGAACTTTCCTTTCAAAGTTCACGTTTGAAACACTCTTTTTGCAGGATCTACAAGTGGATATTTGGACCACTCTGTGTCCTTCGTTCGAAACGGGTATATCTTCACATGACATCTAGACAGAAGCTTTCTCAGAAAATTCTTTGGGATGATTGAGTGGAACTCACAGAGCTGAACATTCCTTGCGATGTAGCAGTTTAGAAACACACTTTCTGAAGAATCTGCAAGTGCATATTTGGACCTCTCTGAGGAATTCGTTGGAAACGGGATAATTTCAGCTGACTAAACAGAAGCATTCTCAGAACCTTCTTCGTGATGTCTGCATTCAACTCACAGTGTGGAACCTTTCTTTGATAGTTCACGTTTGAAACACTCTTTTTGTAGAAACTGCAAGGGGATAATTGCACTTCTTTGAGGCCTACCGTAGTAAAGGAAATAACTTCCTATAAAAAGAAGACAGAAGCATTCACAGAAAACTCTTGGTGACGACTGAGTTTAACTCACAGTAGCTGAACATTCCTTTGGATGGAGCAGTTTCGAAACACACTATTTGTAGAATGTGCAAGTGGATATTTGGGCCTCTCTGAGGATTTCGTTGGAAACGGGATAAACCGCACAGAACTAAACAGAAGCATTCTCAGAAACTACTTTGTGATGATTGCATTCACCTCACAGAGTTGAACATTCCCTTTGACAGAGCACTTTGGAAACTCTCGTTGTGTAGCGTCTGCAAGTTGAGATATGGACCGCTTTGAGGCCTATGGTAGTAAAGGAAATAGCTTCATATAAAAACTAGACAGTAGCATTCTCAGAAACTTCTTTGTGATGCTTGCATTCAACTCACAGAGTTGAACTTTCCTTTCGAGAGAGAAGCTTTGAAACACTCTTTTTCCAGAATCTGCAAGTGGACATTTGGAGGGCTTTGAGGCCTGTGGTGGAAAAGGAATTAACTTCCCGTAAAAGCTAGATAGAAGCATTGTCAGAAACTTCTTTGTGATGATTGCATTCAACTCACAGGGTTGAAGGTTCCTTTTCAAAGAGCAGTTTCCAATCACTCTTTCTGTGGAATCTGCAAGTGGATATTTGGACCTCTTTGAAGATTTCGTTGGAAACGGGAGAATCTTCACAGGAAAGCTAAACAGAAGCATTCTCAGAAACTTCTCTGTGATGTTTGTGTTCAACTCCCAGAGTTTCACATTGCTTTTCATAGAGTAGTTCTGAAACATGCTTTTCGTAGTGTCTACAAGTGGACATTTGGAGCGCTTTCAGGCCTGTGGTGGAAAACGAATTATGGTCACATAAAAACTGGAGAGAAGCCTTCTCAGAAACTTCTCTGTGATGATTGCATTCAACTCACAGAGTTGAACCCTCCTATGGATAGAGCAGTGTTGAAACTCTCTTTTTGTGGAATCTGCAAGTGGATATGTGGACCTCTCCGAAGATGTCTTTGGAAACGGGAATATCTTCACATAAAAACTAAACAGAAGCATTCTCAGAAACTTCTTGGTGATGTTTGCATTCAAATCCCAGAGTTGAACCTTCCTTTGATAGTTCAGGTTTGAAACACTCTTTCTGTAGGATCTGCAAGTGGCTATTTGGACCACTCTGTGGCCTTCGTTCGAAACGGGTATATCTTCGCATAAAATCTAGACAGAAGCATTCTCAGAAAATACTTTGTGATGATTGAGTTTAAATCACAGAGCTGACCATTCCTTTGGATGGAGCAGGTTTGAGACACACTTTTTGTAGAATCTACAAGTGGATATTTGGACCTCTCTGAGGATTTCGTTGGAAACGGGATAACTGCACCTAACTAAACGGAAGCATTCTCAGAAACTGCTTTGTGATGATTGCATTCACCTCACAGAGTTGAACATTCCTATTGATAGAGCAGTTTGGAAACACTCTTGTTGTGGAATGTGCAAGTGGAGATTTGGAGCGCTTTGAGGCCTATGGTAGTAAAGGGAATAGCTTCATAGAAAAACTAGACAGATGCATTCTCAGGAACTTTTTGGTGATGTTTGTATTCAACTCCCAGAGTTGAACTTTCCTTTGGAAAGAGCAGCTATGAAACACTCTTTTTCTAGAATCTGCAAGTGGACGTTTGGAGGGCTTTGTGGTTTGTGGTGGAAAAGGAAATATCTTCACCTAAATACTAGATAGAAGCATTCTCAGAAGCTTCTCTGTGATGACTGCATTCAACTCACGGAGTTGAACACTCCTTTTGAGAGCGCAGTTTTGAAACTCTCTTTCTGTGGCATCTGCAAGGGGACATGTAGACCTCTTTGAAGATTTCGTTGGAAACGGAATCATCTTCACATCAAAACTATACAGAAGCAGTCTCAGAATCTTCTTTGTGATGTTTGCATTCAAATCCCTGAGTTGAACTTTCCTTTCCAAGTTCACGTTTGAAACACTCTTTTTGCAGGATCTACAAGTGGATATTTGGACCACTCTGTGTCCTTCGTTCGAAACGGGTATATCTTCACATGACATCTAGACAGAAGCTTTCTCAGAAAATTCTTTGGGATGATTGAGTTGAGCAAACAGAGCTGAACACTCCTTGCGATGTAGCAGTTTAGAAACACACTTTCTGCAGAATCTGCAAGTGCATATGTGGACCTCTCTGAGGAATTCGTTGGAAACGGGATAATTTCAGCTGACTAAACAGAAGCATTCTCAGAACCTTCTTCGTGATGTCTGCATTCAACTCACAGTGTGGAACCTTTCTTTGATAGTTCAGGTTTGAAACACTCTTTTTGTAGAAACTGCAAGGGGATCACTGCACTTCTTTGAGGCCTACCGTAGTAAAGGAGATAACTTCCTATAAAAAGAAGACAGAAGCATTCTCAGAACCTTCTTCGTGATGTTTGCATTCAACTCACAGTGCTGAACCTTTCTTTGATAGTTCAGCTTTGAAACACTCCTTTTGTAGAAACTGCAAGTGGATATTTGGACCTCTCTGAGGATTTCGTTGGAAACGGGATAAACCGCACAGAACTAAAACGGAAGCATTCACAGAAAACTCTTGGTGACGACTGAGTTTAACTCACAGAGCTGAACATTCCTTTGGATGGAGCAGTTTCGAAACACACTATTTGTAGAATGTGCAAGTGGATATGTGGGCCTCTCTGAGGATTTCGTTGGAAACGGGATAAACCGCACAGAACTAAACAGAAGCATTCTCAGAAACTACTTTGTGATGATTGCATTCAAGTCACAGAGTTGAACATTCCCTTTGACAGAGCAGTTTGGAAACTCTCTTTGTGTAGAATCTGCAAGTGGAGATATGGACCGCTTTGAGGCCTATGGTAGTAAAGGAAATAGCTTCATATAAAAGCTAGACAGTAGCATTCTCAGAAACTTCTTTGTGATGCTTGCATTCAACTCACAGAGTTGAACTTTCCTTTCGAGAGAGAAGCTTTGAAACACTCTTTTTCCAGAATCTGCAAGTGGACATTTGGAGGGCTTTGAGGCCTGTGGTGGAAAAGGAATTATCTTCCCTAAAAGCTAGATAGAAGCATTGTCAGAAACTTCTTTGTGATGATTGCATTCAAGTCACAGAGTTGAAGGTTCCTTTTCAAAGAGCAGTTTCCAATCACTCTTTCTGTGGAATCTGCAAGTGGATATTTGGACCTCTTTGAAGATTTCGTTGGAAACGGGAGAATCTTCACAGAAAAGCTAAACAGAAGCATTCTCAGAAACTTCTCTGTGATGTTTGTGTTCAACTCCCAGAGTTTCACGTTGCTTTTCATAGAGTAGTTCTGAAACATGCTTTTCGTAGTGTCTGCAAGTGGACATTTGGAGCGCTTTCAGGCCTGTGGTGGAAAACGAATTATGGTCACATAAAAACTGGAGAGAAGCCTTCTCAGAAACTTCTCTGTGATGATTGCATTCAACTCACAGATTTGAACCCTCCTATGGATAGAGCATTGTTGAAACTCTCTTTTTGTGGAATCTGCAAGTGGATATGTGGACCTCTCCGAAGATGTCTTTGGAAACGGGAATATCTTCACATAAAAACTAAACAGAAGCATTCTCAGAAACTTCTTGGTGATGTTTGCATTCAAATCCCAGAGTTGAACCTTCCTTTGAGAGTTCAGGTTTGAAACCCTCTTTTTGTAGGATCTGCAAGTGGATATTTGGACCACTCTGTGGCCTTCGTTCGAAACGGGTACATCTTCGCATAAAATCTAGACAGAAGCATTCTCAGAAAATACTTTGTGATGATTGAGTTGAACTCACAGAGCTGAACATTCCTTTGGATGGAGCAGGTTTGAGACACACTTTTTGTAGAATCTACAAGTGGATATTTGGACCTCTCTGAGGATTTCGTTGGAAACGGGATAACTGCACCTAACTAAACGGAAGCATTCTCAGAAACTGCTTTGTGATGATTGCATTCACCTCACAGAGTTGAACATTCCTATTGATAGAGCAGTTTGGAAACACTCTTGTTGTGGAATGTGCAAGTGGAGATTTGGAGCGCTTTGAGGCCTATGGTAGTAAAGGCAATAGCTTCATAGAAAAATTAGACAGATGCATTCTCAGGAACTTTTTGGTGATGTTTGTATTCAACTCCCAGAGTTGAACTTTCCTTTGGAAAGAGCAGCTATGAAACACTCTTTTTCTAGAATCTGCAAGTGGACGTTTGGAGGGCTTTGTGGTTTGTGGTGGAAAAGGAAATATCTTCACCTAAATACTAGATAGAAGCATTCTCAGAAGCTTCTCTGTGATGACTGCATTCAGCTCACGGAGTTGAACACTCCTTTTGAGAGCGCAGTTTTGAAACTCTCTTTCTGTGGCATCTGCAAGGGGACATGTAGACCTCTTTGAAGATTTCGTTGGAAACGGAATCATCTTCACATAAAAACTATACAGAAGCAGTCTCAGAATCTTCTTTGTGATGTTTGCATTCAAATCCCAGAGTTGAACTTTCCTTTCAAAGTTCACGTTTGAAACACTCTTTTTGCAGGATCTACAAGTGGATATTTGGACCACTCTGTGTCCTTCGTTCGAAACGGGTATATCTTCACACGACATCTAGACAGAAGCTTTCTCAGAAAATTCTTTGGGATGATTGAGTGGAACTCACAGAGCTGAACATTCCTTGCGATGGAGCAGTTTAGAAACACACTTTCTGCAGAATCTGCAAGTGCATATTTGGACCTCTCTGAGGAATTCGTTGGAAACGGGATAATTTCAGCTGACTAAACAGAAGCATTCTCAGAACCTTCTTCGTGATGTCTGCATTCAACTCACAGTGTGGAACCTTTCTTTGATAGTTCAGGTTTGAAACACTCTTTTTGTAGAAACTGCAAGGGGATAATTGCACTTCTTTGAGGCCTACCGTAGTAAAGGAAATAACTTCCTATAGAAAGAAGACAGAAGAATTCTCAGAGCCCTCTTCGTGATGTTTGCATTCAACTCACAGTGCTGAACCTTTCTTTGATAGTGCAGCTTTGAAACACTCTTTTTGTAGAAACTGCAAGTGGATGTTTGGTCCTCTCTGAGGATTTCGTTGGAAACGGGATAAACCGCACAGAACTAAAACAGAAGCATTCTCAGAAAATTCTTCGTGATGTTTGCATTCAACTCACAGTGTTGAACCTTTCTTTGATAGTTCAGGTTTGAAACGGTCTTTCTGTAGAAACTGCAAGTAGATATTTGGACCTCTCTGAGGATTTCGTTGGAAACGGGATAAACCGCACAGAACTAAAACAGAAGCATTCACAGAAAACTCTTGGTGACGACTGAGTTTAACTCACAGAGCTGAACATTCCTTTGGATGGAGCAGTTTCGAAACACACTATTTGTAGAATGTGCAAGTGGATATTTGGGCCTCTCTGAGGATTTCGTTGGAAACGGGATAAACCGCACAGAACTAAACAGAAGCATTCTCAGAAACTACTTTGTGATGATTGCATTCAAGTCACAGAGTTGAACATTCCCTTTGACAGAGCAGTTTGGAAACTCTCTTTGTGTAGAATCTGCAAGTGGAGATATGGACCGCTTTGAGGCCTATGGTAGTAAAGGAAATAGCTTCATATAAAAGCTAGACAGTAGCATTCTCAGAAACTTCTTTGTGATGCTTGCATTCAACTCACAGAGTTGAACTTTCCTTTCGAGAGAGAAGCTTTGAAACACTCTTTTTCCAGAATCTGCAAGTGGACATTTGGAGGGCTTTGAGGCCTGTGGTGGAAAAGGAATTATCTTCCCGTAAAAGCTAGATGGAAGCATTGTCAGAAACTTCTTTGTGATGATTGCATTCAAGTCACAGAGTTGAAGGTTCCTTTTCAAAGAGCAGTTTCCAATCACTCTTTCTGTGGAATCTGCAAGTGGATATTTGGACCTCTTTGAAGATTTCGTTGGAAACGGGAGAATCTTCACAGAAAAGCTAAACAGAAGCATTCTCAGAAACTTCTCTGTGATGTTTGTGTTCAACTCCCGGAGTTTCACATTGCTTCTCATAGAGTAGTTCTGAAACATGCTTTTCGTAGTGTCTGCAAGTGGACATTTGGAGCGCTTTCAGGCCTGTGGTGGAAAACGAATTATGGTCACATAAAAACTGGAGAGAAGCCTTCTCAGAAACTTCTCTGTGATGATTGCATTCAACTCACAGAGTTGAACCCTCCTATGGATAGAGCAGTGTTGAAACTCTCTTTTTGTGGAATCTGCAAGCGGATATGTGGACCTCTCCGAAGATGTCTTTGGCAACGGGAATATCTTCACATAAAAACTAAACAGAAGCATTCTCAGAAACTTCTTGGTGATGTTTGCATTCAAATCCCAGAGTTGAACCTTCCTTTCATAGTTCAGGTTTGCAACACTCTTTTTGTAGGATCTGCAAGTGGATATTTGGACCACTCTGTGGCCTTCGTTCGAAACGGGTACATCTTCGCATAAAATCTAGACAGAAGCATTCTCAGAAAATACTTTGTGATGATTGAGTTTAAATCACAGAGCTGACCATTCCTTTGGATGGAGCAGGTTTGAGACACACTTTTTGTAGAATCTACAAGTGGATATTTGGACCTCTCTGAGGATTTCGTTGGAAACGGGATAACTGCACCTAACTAAACGGAAGCATTCTCAGAAACTGCTTTGTGATGATTGCATTCACCTCACAGAGTTGAACATTCCTATTGATAGAGCAGTTTGGAAACACTCTTGTTGTGGAATGTGCAAGTGGAGATTTGGAGCGCTTTGAGGCCTATGGTAGTAAAGGGAATAGCTTCATAGAAAAACTAGACAGATGCATTCTCAGGAACTTTTTGGTGATGTTTGTATTCAACTCCCAGAGTTGAACTTTCCTTTGGAAAGAGCAGCTATGAAACACTCTTTTTCTAGAATCTGCAAGTGGACGTTTGGAGGGCTTTGTGGTTTGTGGTGGAAAAGGAAATATCTTCACCTAAATACTAGACAGAAGCATTCTCAGAAGCTTCTCTGTGATGACTGCATTCAACTCACGGAGTTGAACACTCCTTTTGAGAGCGCAGTTTTGAAACTCTCTTTCTGTGGCATCTGCAAGGGGACATGTAGACCTCTTTGAAGATTTCGTTGGAAACGGAATCATCTTCACATCAAAACTATACAGAAGCAGTCTCAGAATCTTCTTTGTGATGTTTGCATTCAAATCCCAGAGTTGAACTTTCCTTTCAAAGTTCACGTTTGAAACACTCTTTTTGCAGGATCTACAAGTGGATATTTGGACCACTCTGTGTCCTTCGTTCGAAACGGGTATATCTTCACATGACATCTAGACAGAAGCTTTCTCAGAAAATTCTTTGGGATGATTGAGTGGAACTCACAGAGCTGAACATTCCTTGCGATGTAGCAGTTTAGAAACACACTTTCTGCAGAATCTGCAAGTGCATATTTGGACCTCTCTGAGGAATTCGTTGGAAACGGGATAATTTCAGCTGACTAAACAGAAGCATTCTCAGAACCTTCTTCGTGATGTCTGCATTCAACTCACAGTGTGGAACCTTTCTTTGATAGTTCAGGTTTGAAACACTCTTTTTGTAGAAACTGCAAGGGGATAATTGCACTCTTTGAGGAGTACCGTAGTAAAGGAAATAACTTCCTATAAAAAGAAGACAGAAGCATTCTCAGAACCCTCTTCGTGATGTTTGCATTCAACTCACAGTGCTGAACCTTTCTTTGATAGTTCAGCTTTGAAACACTCTTCTTGTAGAAACTGCAAGTGGATATTTGGTCCTCTCTGAGGATTTCGTTGGAAACGGGATAAACCGCACAGAACTAAACAGAAGCATTCTCAGAACCTTCTTCGTGATGTTTGCATTCAACTCACAGTGTTGAACCTTTCTTTGATAGTTCAGGTTTGAAACGGTCTTTCTGTAGAAACTGCAAGTAGATATTTGGACCTCTCTGAGGATTTCGTTGGAAACGGGATAACCCGCACAGAACTAAAACAGAAGCATTCACAGAAAACTCTTGGTGACGACTGAGTTTAACTCACAGAGCTGAACATTCCTTTGGATGGAGCAGTTTCGAAACACACTATTTGTAGAATGTGCAAGTGGATATTTAGGCCTCTCTGAGGATTTCGTTGGAAACGGGATAAACCGCACAGAACTAAACAGAAGCATTCTCAGAAACTACTTTGTGATGATTGCATTCAAGTCACAGAGTTGAACATTCCCTTTGACAGAGCAGTTTGGAAACTCTCTTTGTGTAGAATCTGCAAGTGGAGATATGGACCGCTTTGAGGCCTATGGTAGTAAAGGAAATAGCTTCATATAAAAGCTAGACAGTAGCATTCTCAGAAACTTCTTTGTGATGCTTGCATTCAACTCACAGAGTTGAACTTTCCTTTCGAGAGAGAAGCTTTGAAACACTCTTTTTCCAGAATCTGCAAGTGGACATTTGGAGGGCTTTGAGGCCTGTGGTGGAAAAGGAATTAACTTCCCGTAAAAGCTAGATAGAAGCATTGTCAGAAACTTCTTTGTGATGATTGCATTCAACTCACAGAGTTGAAGGTTCCTTTTCAAAGAGCAGTTTCCAATCACTCTTTCTGTGGAATCTGCAAGTGGATATTTGGACCTATTTTGAAGATTTCGTTGGAAACGGGAGAATCTTCACAGGAAAGCTAAACAGAAGGATTCTCAGAAACTTCTCTGTGATGTTTGTGTTCAACTCCCAGAGTTTCACATTGCTTTTCATAGAGTAGTTCTGAAACATGCTTTTCGTAGTGTCTACAAGTGGACATTTGGAGCGCTTCCAGGCCTGTGGTGGAAAACGAATTATGGTCACATAAAAACTGGAGAGAAGCCTTCTCAGAAACTTCTCTGTGATGACTGCATTCAACTCACAGAGTTGAACCCTCCTATGGATAGAGCAGTGTTGAAACTCTCTTTTTGTGGAATCTGCAAGTGGATATGTGGACCTCTCCGAAGATGTTCTTTGGAAACGGGAATATCTTCACATAAAAACTAAACAGAAGCATTCTCAGAAACTTCTTGGTGATGTTTGCATTCAAATCCCAGAGTTGAACCTTCCTTTGATAGTTCAGGTTTGAAACACTCTTTTTGTAGGATCTGCAAGTGGATATTTGGACCACTCTGTGGCCTTCGTTCGAAACGGGTACATCTTCGCATAAAATCTAGACAGAAGCATTCTCAGAAAATACTTTGTGATGATTGAGTTTAAATCACAGAGCTGACCATTCCTTTGGATGGAGCAGGTTTGAGACACACTTTTTGTAGAATCTACAAGTGGATATTTGGACCTCTCTGAGGATTTCGTTGGAAACGGGATAACTGCACCTAACTAAACGGAAGCATTCTCAGAAACTGCTTTGTGATGATTGCATTCACCTCACAGAGTTGAACATTCCTATTGATAGAGCAGTTTGGAAACACTCTTGTTGTGGAATGTGCAAGTGGAGATTTGGAGCGCTTTGAGGCCTATGGTAGTAAAGGGAATAGCTTCATAGAAAAACTAGACAGATGCATTCTCAGGAACTTTTTGGTGATGTTTGTATTCAACTCCCAGAGTTGAACTTTCCTTTGGAAAGAGCAGCTATGAAACACTCTTTTTCTAGAATCTGCAAGTGGACGTTTGGAGGGCTTTGTGGTTTGTGGTGGAAAAGGAAATATCTTCACCTAAATACTAGATAGAAGCATTCTCAGAAGCTTCTCTGTGATGACTGCATTCAACTCACGGAGTTGAACACTCCTTTTGAGAGCGCAGTTTTGAAACTCTCTTTCTGTGGCATCTGCAAGGGGACATGTAGACCTCTTTGAAGATTTCGTTGGAAACGGAATCATCTTCACATAAAAACTATACAGAAGCAGTCTCAGAATCTTCTTTGTGATGTTTGCATTCAAATCCCAGAGTTGAACTTTCCTTTCAAAGTTCACGTTTGAAACACTCTTTTTGCAGGATCTACAAGTGGATATTTCGACCACTCTGTGTCCTACGTTCGAAACGGGTATATCTTCACATGACATCTAGACAGAAGCTTTCTCAGAAAATTCTTTGGGTTGATTGAGTTGAACTCACAGAGCTGAACATTCCTTCCGATGTAGCAGTTTAGAAACACACTTTCTGCAGAATCTGCAAGTGCATATTTGGACCTCTCTGAGGAATTCGTTGGAAACGGGATAATTTCAGCTGACTAAACAGAAGCATTCTCAGAACCTTCTTCGTGATGTGTGCATTCAACTCACAGTGTGGAACCTTTCTTTGATAGTTCAGGTTTGAAACACTCTTTTTGTAGAAACTGCAAGGGGATAATTGCACTTCTTTGAGGCCTACCGTAGTAAAGGAAATAACTTCCTATAGAAAGAAGACAGAAGCATTCTCAGAACCCTCTTCGTGATGTTTGCATTCAACTCACAGTGCTGAACCTTTCTTTGATAGTTCAGCTTTGAAACACTCTTCTTGTAGAAACTGCAAGTGGATATTTGGTCCTCTCTGAGGATTTCGTTGGAAACGGGATAAACCGCACAGAACTAAACAGAAGCATTCTCAGAACCTTCTTCGTGATGTTTGCATTCAACTCACAGTGTTGAACCTTTCTTTGATAGTTCAGGTTGGAAACGGTCTTTCTGTAGAAACTGCAAGTAGATATTTGGACCTCTCTGAGGATTTCGTTGGAAACGGGATAAACCGCACAGAACTAAAACAGAAGCATTCACAGAAAACTCTTGGTGACGACTGAGTTTAACTCACAGAGCTGAACATTCCTTTGGATGGAGCAGTTTCGAAACACACTATTTGTAGAATGTGCAAGTGGATATTTGGGCCTCTCTGAGGATTTCGTTGGAAACGGGATAAACCGCACAGAACTAAACAGAAGCATTCTCAGAAACTACTTTGTGATGATTGCATTCAAGTCACAGAGTTGAACATTCCCTTTGACAGAGCAGTTTGGAAACTCTCTTTGTGTAGAATCTGCAAGTGGAGATATGGACCGCTTTGAGGCCTATGGTAGTAAAGGAAATAGCTTCATATAAAAGCTAGACAGTAGTATTCTCAGAAACTTCTTTTTGATGCTTGCATTCAACTCACAGAGTTGAACTTTCCTTTCGAGAGAGAAGCTTTGAAACACTCTTTTTCCAGAATCTGCAAGTGGACATTTGGAGGGCTTTGAGGCCTGTGGTGGAAAAGGAATTATCTTCCCGTAAAAGCTAGATAGAAGCATTGTCAGAAACTTCTTTGTGATGATTGCATTCAACTCACAGAGTTGAAGGTTCCTTTTCAAACAGCAGTTTCCAAACACCCTTTCTGTGGAATCTGCAAGTGGATGTTTGGACCTCTTGGAAGATTTCGTTGGAAACGGGAGAATCTTCACATAAAAGCTAAACAGAAGCTTTCTCAGAAACTTCTCTGTGATGTTTGTGTTCAACTCCCAGAGTTTCACATTGCTTTTCATAGAGTAGTTCTGAAACATGCTTTTCGTAGTGTCTGCAAGTGGACGTTTGGAGCGCTTTCAGGCCAGTGGTGGAAAACGAATTATGGTCACAAAAAAACTGGAGAGAAGCCTTCTCAGAAACTTCTCTGTGATGATTGCATTCAACTCACAGAGTTGAACCCTCCTATGGATAGAGCAGTGTTGAAACTCTCTTTTTGTGGAATCTGCAAGTGGATATGTGGACCTCTCCGAAGATGTCTTTGGAAACGGGAATATCTTCACATAAAAACTAAACAGAAGCATTCTCAGAAACTTCTTGGTGATGTTTGCATTCAAATCCCAGAGTTGAACCTTCCTTTGATAGTTCAGGTTTGAAACACTCTTTCTGTAGGATCTGCAAGTGGCTATTTGGACCACTCTGTGGCCTTCGTTCGAAACGGGTATATCTTCGCATAAAATCTAGACAGAAGCATTCTCAGAAAATACTTTGTGATGATTGAGTTTAAATCACAGAGCTGACCATTCCTTTGGATGGAGCAGGTTTGAGACACACTTTTTGTAGAATCTACAAGTGGATATTTGGACCTCTCTGAGGATTTCGTTGGAAACGGGATAACTGCACCTAACTAAACGGAAGCATTCTCAGAAACTGCTTTGTGATGATTGCATTCACCTCACAGAGTTGAACATTCCTATTGATAGAGCAGTTTGGAAACACTCTTGTTGTGGAATGTGCAAGTGGAGATTTGGAGCGCTTTGAGGCCTATGGTAGTAAAGGGAATAGCTTCATAGAAAAACTAGACAGGATGCATTCTCAGGAACTTTTTGGTGATGTTTGTATTCAACTCCCAGAGTTGAACTTTCCTTTGGAAAGAGCAGCTATGAAACACTCTTTTTCTAGAATCTGCAAGTGGACGTTTGGAGGGCTTTGTGGTTTGTGGTGGAAAAGGAAATATCTTCACCTAAATACTAGATAGAAGCATCCTCAGAAGCTTCTCTGTGATGACTGCATTCAACTCACGGAGTTGAACACTCCTTTTGAGAGCGCAGTTTTGAAACTCTCTTTCTGTGGCATCTGCAAGGGGACATGTAGACCTCTTTGAAGATTTCGTTGGAAACGGAATCATCTTCACATAAAAACTATACAGAAGCAGTCTCAGAATCTTCTTTGTGATGTTTGCATTCAAATCCCAGAGTTGAACTTTCCTTTCAAAGTTCACGTTTGAAACACTCTTTTTGCAGGATCTACAAGTGGATATTTGGACCACTCTGTGTCCTTCGTTCGAAACGGGTATATCTTCACATGACATCTAGACAGAAGCTTTCTCAGAAAATTCTTTGGGATGATTGAGTTGAGCAAACAGAGCTGAACACTCCTTGCGATGTAGCAGTTTAGAAACACACTTTCTGCAGAATCTGCAAGTGCATATGTGGACCTCTCTGAGGAATTCGTAGGAAACGGGATAATTTCAGCTGACTAAACAGAAGCATTCTCAGAACCTTCTTCGTGATGTCTGCATTCAACTCACAGTGTGGAACCTTTCTTTGATAGTTCAGGTTTGAAACACTCTTTTTGTAGAAACTGCAAGGGGGTAATTGCACTTCTTTGAGGCCTACCGTAGTAAAGGAAATAACTTCCTATAGAAAGAAGACAGAAGCATTCTCAGAACCCTCTTCGTGATGTTTGCATTCAACTCACAGTGCTGAACCTTTCTTTGATAGTTCAGCTTTGAAACACTCTTCTTGTAGAAACTGCAAGTGGATATTTGGTCCTCTCTGAGGATTTCGTTGGAAACGGGATAAACCGCACAGAACTAAACAGAAGCATTCTCAGAACCTTCTTCGTGATGTTTGCATTCAACTCACAGTGTTGAACCTTTCTTTGATAGTTCAGGTTTGAAACGGTCTTTCTGTAGAAACTGCAAGTAGATATTTGGACCTCTCTGAGGATTTCGTTGGAAACGGGATAACCCGCACAGAACTAAAACAGAAGCATTCACAGAAAACTCTTGGTGACGACTGAGTTTAACTCACAGAGCTGAACATTCCTTTGGATGGAGCAGTTTCGAAACACACTATTTGTAGAATGTGCAAGTGGATATTTAGGCCTCTCTGAGGATTTCGTTGGAAACGGGATAAACCGCACAGAACTAAACAGAAGCATTCTCAGAAACTACTTTGTGATGATTGCATTCAAGTCACAGAGTTGAACATTCCCTTTGACAGAGCAGTTTGGAAACTCTCTTTGTGTAGAATCTGCAAGTGGAGATATGGACCGCTTTGAGGCCTATGGTAGTAAAGGAAATAGCTTCATATAAAAGCTAGACAGTAGCATTCTCAGAAACTTCTTTGTGATGCTTGCATTCAACTCACAGAGTTGAACTTTCCTTTCGAGAGAGAAGCTTTGAAACACTCTTTTTCCAGAATCTGCAAGTGGACATTTGGAGGGCTTTGAGGCCTGTGGTGGAAAAGGAATTATCTTCCCGTAAAAGCTAGATAGAAGCATTGTCAGAAACTTCTTTGTGATGATTGCATTCAACTCACAGAGTTGAAGGTTCCTTTTCAAACAGCAGTTTCCAATCACTCTTTCTGTGGAATCTGCAAGTGGATATTTGGGCCTCTCTGAGGATTTCGTTGGAAACGGGATAAAACGCACAGAACTAAAACAGAAGCATTCTCAGAAACTTCTCTGTGATGTTTGTGTTCAACTCCCAGAGTTTCACATTGCTTTTCATAGAGTAGTTCTGAAACATGCTTTTCGTAGTGTCTACAAGTGGACATTTGGAGCGCTTTCAGGCCTGTGGTGGAAAACGAATTATGGTCACATAAAAACGGAGAGAAGCCTTCACAGAAAATTCTCTGTGATGATTGCATTCAACTCACAGAGTTGAACCCTCCTATGGATAGAGCAGTGTTGAAACTCTCTTTTTGTGGAATCTGCAAGTGGCTACGTGGACCTCTCCGAAGATGTCTTTGGAAACGGGAATATCTTCACATAAAAACTAAACAGAAGCATTCTCAGAAACTTCTTGGTGATGTTTGCATTCAAATCCCAGAGTTGAACCTTCCTTTGATAGTTCAGGTTTGAAACACTCTTTCTGTAGGATCTGCAAGTGGCTATTTGGACCACTCTGTGGCCTTCGTTCGAAACGGGTATATCTTCGCATAAAATCTAGACAGAAGCATTCTCAGAAAATACTTTGTGATGATTGAGTTTAAATCACAGAGCTGAACATTCCTTTGGATGGAGCAGGTTTGAGACACACTTTTTGTAGAATCTACAAGTGGATATTTGGACCTCTCTGAGGATTTCGTTGGAAACGGGATAACTGCACCTAACTAAACGGAAGCATTCTCAGAAACTGCTTTGTGATGATTGCATTCACCTCACAGAGTTGAACATTCCTATTGATAGAGCAGTTTGGAAACACTCTTGTTGTGGAATGTGCAAGTGGAGATTTGGAGCGCTTTGAGGCCTGTGGTAGTAAAGGGAATAGCTTCATAGAAAAACTAGACAGATGCATTCTCAGGAACTTTTTGGTGATGTTTGTATTCAACTCCCAGAGTTGAACTTTCCTTTGGAAAGAGCAGCTGTGAAACACTCTTTTTCTAGAATCTGCAGGTGGACGTTTGGAGGGCTTTGTGGTTTGTGGTGGAAAAGGAAATATCTTCACCTAAATAGTAGAGAGAAGCATTCTCAGAAGCTTCTCTGTGATGACTGCATTCAACTCACGGAGTTGAACACTCCTTTTGAGAGCGCAGTTTTGAAACTCTCTTTCTGTGGCATCTACAAGGGGACATGAAGACCTCTTTGAAGATTTCGTTGGAAACGGAATCATCTTCACATAAAAACTATACAGAAGCAGTCTCAGAATCTTCTTTGTGATGTTTGCATTCAAATCCCAGAGTTGAACTTTCCTTTCAAAGTTCACGTTTGAAACACTCTTTTTGCAGGATCTACAAGTGGATATTTGGACCACTCTGTGTCCTTCGTTCGAAACGGGTATATCTTCACATGACATCTAGACAGAAGCTTTCTCAGAAAATTCTTTGGCATGATTGAGTTGAACTCACAGAGCTGAACATTCCTTGCGATGTAGCAGTTTAGAAACACACTTTCTGCAGAAGCTGCAAGTGCATATTTGGACCTCTCTGAGGAATTCGTTGGAAACGGGATAATTTCAGCTGACTAAACAGAAGCATTCTCAGAACCTTCTTCGTGATGTCTGCATTCAACTCACAGTGTGGAACCTTTCTTTGATAGTTCAGGTTTGAAACACTCTTTTTGTAGAAACTGCAAGGGGATAATTGCACTTCTTTGAGGCCTACCGTAGTAAAGGAAATAACTTCCTATAGAAAGAAGACAGAAGCATTCTCAGAACCCTCTTCGTGATGTTTGCATTCAACTCACAGTGCTGAACCTTTCTTTGATAGTTCAGCTTTGAAACACTCTTTTTGTAGAAACTGCAAGTGGATATTTGGTCCTCTCTGAGCATTTCGTTGGAAACGGGATAAACTGCACAGAACTAAACAGAAGCATTCTCAGAACCTTCTTCGTGATGTTTGCATTCAACTCACAGTGTTGAACCTTTCTTTGATAGTTCAGGTTTGAAACGGTCTTTCTGTAGAAACTGCAAGTAGATATTTGGACCTCTCTGAGGATTTCGTTGGAAACGGGATAACCCGCACAGAACTAAAACAGAAGCATTCACAGAAAACTCTTGGTGACGACTGAGTTTAACTCACAGAGCTGAACATTCCTTTGGATGGAGCAGTTTCGAAACACACTATTTGTAGAATGTGCAAGTGGATATTTAGGCCTCTCTGAGGATTTCGTTGGAAACGGGATAAACCGCACAGAACTAAACAGAAGCATTCTCAGAAACTACTTTGTGATGATTGCATTCAAGTCACAGAGTTGAACATTCCCTTTGAGAGAGCAGTTTGGAAACTCTCTTTGTGTAGAATCTGCAAGTGGAGATATGGACCGCTTTGAGGCCTATGGTAGTAAAGGAAATAGCTTCATATAAAAGCTAGACAGTAGCATTCTCAGAAACTTCTTTGTGATGCTTGCATTCAACTCACAGAGTTGAACTTTCCTTTCGAGAGAGAAGCTTTGAAACACTCTTTTTCCAGAATGTGCAAGTGGACATTTGGAGGGCTTTGAGGCCTGTGGTGGAAAAGGAATTATCTTCCCGTAAAAGCTAGATAGAATCATTGCCAGAAACTTCTTTGTGATGATTGCATTCAACTCACAGAGTTGAAGGTTCCTTTTCAAACAGCAGTTTCCAATCACTCTTTCTGTGGAATCTGCAAGTGGATATTTCGACCTCTTTGAAGATTTCGTTGGAAACGGGAGAATCTTCACAGAAAAGCTAAACAGAAGCATTCTCAGAAACTTCTCTGTGATGTTTGTGTTCAACTCCCAGAGTTTCACATTGCTTTTCATAGAGTAGTTCTGAAACATGCTTTTCGTAGTGTCTGCAAGTGGACATTTGGAGCGCTTTCAGGCCTGTGGTGGAAAACGAATTATGGTCACATAAAAACTGGAGAGAAGCCTTCTCAGAAACTTCTCTGTGATGATTGCATTCAACTCACAGAGTTGAACCCTCCTATGGATAGAGCAGTGTTGAAACTCTCTTTTTGTGGAATCTGCAAGTGGATATGTGGACCTCTCCGAAGATGTCTTTGGAAACGGGAATATCTTCACATAAAAACTAAACAGAAGCATTCTCAGAAACTTCTTGGTGATGTTTGCATTCAAATCCCAGAGTTGAACCTTCCTTTGATAGTTCAGGTTTGAAACACTCTTTCTGTAGGATCTGCAAGTGGCTATTTGGACCACTCTGTGGCCTTCGTTCGAAACGGGTATATCTTCGCATAAAATCTAGACAGAAGCATTCTCAGAAAATACTTTGTGATGATTGAGTTTAAATCACAGAGCTGACCATTCCTTTGGATGGAGCAGGTTTGAGACACACTTTTTGTAGAATCTACAAGTGGATATTTGGACCTCTCTGAGGATTTCGTTGGAAACGGGATAACTGCACCTAACTAAACGGGAAGCATTCTCAGAAACTGCTTTGTGATGATTGCATTCACCTCACAGAGTTGAACATTCCTATTGATAGAGCAGTTTGGAAACACTCTTGTTGTGGAATGTGCAAGTGGAGATTTGGAGCGCTTTGAGGCCTATGGTAGTAAAGGGAATAGCTTCATAGAAAAACTAGACAGATGCATTCTCAGGAACTTTTTGGTGATGTTTGTATTCAACTCCCAGAGTTGAACTTTCCTTTGGAAAGAGCAGCTATGAAACACTCTTTTTCTAGAATCTGCAAGTGGACGTTTGGAGGGCTTTGTGGTTTGTGGTGGAAAAGGAAATATCTTCACCTAAATACTAGATAGAAGCATTCTCAGAAGCTTCTCTGTGATGACTGCATTCAACTCACGGAGTTGAACACTCCTTTTGAGAGCGTAGTTTTGAAACTCTCTTTCTGTGGCATCTGCAAGGGGACATGTAGACCTCTTTGAAGATTTCGTTGGAAACGGAATCATCTTCACATAAAAACTATACAGAAGCAGTCTCAGAATCTTCTTTGTGATGTTTGCATTCAAATCCCAGAGTTGAACTTGCCTTTCAAAGTTCACGTTTGAAACACTCTTTTTGCAGGATCTACAAGTGGATATTTGGACCACTCTGTGTCCTTCGTTCGAAACGGGTATATCTTCACATGACATCTAGACAGAAGCTTTCTCAGAAAATTCTTTGGGATGATTGAGTGGAACTCACAGAGCTGAACATTCCTTGCGATGTAGCAGTTTAGAAACACACTTTCTGCAGAATCTGCAAGTGCATATTTGGACCTCTCTGAGGAATTCGTTGGAAACGGGGATAATTTCAGCTGACTAAACAGAAGCATTCTCAGAACCTTCTTCGTGATGTCTGCATTCAACTCACAGTGTGGAACCTTTCTTTGATAGTTCAGGTTTGAAACACTCTTTTTGTAGAAACTGCAAGGGGATAATTGCACTTCTTTGAGGCCTACCGTAGTAAAGGAAATAACTTCCTATAGAAAGAAGACAGAAGAATTCTCAGAGCCCTCTTCGTGATGTTTGCATTCAACTCACAGTGCTGAACCTTTCTTTGATAGTGCAGCTTTGAAACACTCTTTTTGTAGAAACTGCAAGTGGATGTTTGGTCCTCTCTGAGGATTTCGTTGGAAACGGGATAAACCGCACAGAACTAAAACAGAAGCATTCTCAGAACCTTCTTCGTGATGTTTGCATTCAACTCACAGTGTTGAACCTTTCTTTGATAGTTCAGGTTTGAAACGGTCTTTCTGTAGAAACTGCAAGTAGATATTTGGACCTCTCTGAGGATTTCGTTGGAAACGGGATAACCCGCACAGAACTAAAACAGAAGCATTCACAGAAAACTCTTGGTGACGACTGAGTTTAACTCACAGAGCTGAACATTCCTTTGGATGGAGCAGTTTCGAAACACACTATTTGTAGAATGTGCAAGTGGATATTTGGGCCTCTCTGAGGATTTCGTTGGAAACGGGATAAACCGCACAGAACTAAACAGAAGCATTCTCAGAAACTACTTTGTGATGATTGCATTCAAGTCACAGAGTTGAACATTCCCTTTGACAGAGCAGTTTGGAAACTCTCTTTGTGTAGAATCTGCAAGTGGAGATATGGACCGCTTTGAGGCCTATGGTAGTAAAGGAAATAGCTTCATATAAAAGCTAGACAGTAGCATTCTCAGAAACTTCTTTGTGATGCTTGCATTCAACTCACAGAGTTGAACTTTCCTTTCGAGAGAGAAGCTTTGAAACACTCTTTTTCCAGAATCTGCAAGTGGACATTTGGAGGGCTTTGAGGCCTGTGGTGGAAAAGGAATTATCTTCCCGTAAAAGCTAGATAGAAGCATTGTCAGAAACTTCTTTGTGATGATTGCATTCAACTCACAGAGTTGAAGGTTCCTTTTCAAACAGCAGTTTCCAATCACTCTTTCTGTGGAATCTGCAAGTGGATATTTCGACCTCTTTGAAGATTTCGTTGGAAACGGGAGAATCTTCACAGAAAAGCTAAACAGAAGCATTCTCAGAAACTTCTCTGTGATGTTTGTGTTCAACTCCCAGAGTTTCACGTTGCTTTTCATAGAGTAGTTCTGAAACATGCTTTTCGTAGTGTCTGCAAGTGGACATATGGAGCGCTTTCAGGCCTGTGGTGGAAAACGAATTATGGTCACATAAAAACTGGAGAGAAGCCTTCTCAGAAACTTCTCTGTGATGATTGCATTCAACTCACAGAGTTGAACCCTCCTATGGATAGAGCAGTGTTGAAACTCTCTTTTTGTGGAATCTGCAAGTGGATATGTGGACCTCTCCGAAGATGTCTTTGGAAACGGGAATATCTTCACATAAAAACTAAACAGAAGCATTCTCAGAAACTTCTTGGTGATGTTTGCATTCAAATCCCAGAGTTGAACCTTCCTTTGATAGTTCAGGTTTGAAACACTCTTTCTGTAGGATCTGCAAGTGGCTATTTGGACCACTCTGTGGCCTTCGTTCGAAACGGGTATATCTTCGCATAAAATCTAGACAGAAGCATTCTCAGAAAATACTTTGTGATGATTGAGTTTAACTCACAGAGCTGAACATTCCTTTGGATGGAGCAGGTTTGAGACACACTTTTTGTAGAATCTACAAGTGGATATTTGGACCTCTCTGAGGATTTCGTTGGAAACGGGATAACTGCACCTAACTAAACGGAAGCATTCTCAGAAACTGCTTTGTGATGATTGCATTCACCTCACAGAGTTGAACATTCCTATTGATAGAGCAGTTTGGAAACACTCTTGTTGTGGAATGTGCAAGTGGAGATTTGGAGCGCTTTGAGGCCTATGGTAGTAAAGGGAATAGCTTCATAGAAAAACTAGACAGATGCATTCTCAGGAACTTTTTGGTGATGTTTGTATTCAACTCCCAGAGTTGAACTTTCCTTTGGAAAGAGCAGCTATGAAACACTCTTTTTCTAGAATCTGCAAGTGGACGTTTGGAGGGCTTTGTGGTTTGTGGTGGAAAAGGAAATATCTTCACCTAAATACTAGATAGAAGCATTCTCAGAAGCTTCTCTGTGATGACTGCATTCAACTCACGGAGTTGAACACTCCTTTTGAGAGCGCAGTTTTGAAACTCTCTTTCTGTGGCATCTGCAAGGGGACATGTAGACCTCTTTGAAGATTTCGTTGGAAACGGAATCATCTTCACATAAAAACTATACAGAAGCAGTCTCAGAATCTTCTTTGTGATGTTTGCATTCAAATCCCAGAGTTGAACTTGCCTTTCAAAGTTCACGTTTGAAACACTCTTTTTGCAGGATCTACAAGTGGATATTTGGACCACTCTGTGTCCTTCGTTCGAAACGGGTATATCTTCACATGACATCTAGACAGAAGCTTTCTCAGAAAATTCTTTGGGATGATTGAGTGGAACTCACAGAGCTGAACATTCCTTGCGATGTAGCAGTTTAGAAACACACTTTCTGCAGAATCTGCAAGTGCATATTTGGACCTCTCCGAGGAATTCGTTGGAAACGGGATAATTTCAGCTGACTAAACAGAAGCATTCTCAGAACCTTCTTCGTGATGTCTGCATTCAACTCACAGTGTGGAACCTTTCTTTGATAGTTCAGGTTTGAAACACTCTTTTTGTAGAAACTGCAAGGGGATAATTGCACTTCTTTGAGGCCTACCGTAGTAAAGGAAATAACTTCCTATAGAGAGAAGACAGAAGCATCCTCAGAACCTTCTTCGTGATGTTTGCATTCACCTCACAGTGCTGAACCTTTCTTTGATAGTTCAGCTTTGAAACACTCTTTTTGTAGAAACTGCAAGTGGATATTTGGTCCTCTCTGAGGATTTCGTTGGAAACGGGATAAACCGCACGGAACTAAAACAGAAGCATTCTCAGAACCTTCTTCGTGATGTTTGCATTCAACTCACAGTGTTGAACCTTTCTTTGATAGTTCAGGTTTGAAACGGTCTTTCTGTAGAAACTGCAAGTAGATATTTGGACCTCTCTGAGGATTTCGTTGGAAACGGGATAACCCGCACAGAACTAAAACAGAAGCATTCACAGAAAACTCTTGGTGACGACTGAGTTTAACTCACAGAGCTGAACATTCCTTTGGATGGAGCAGTTTCAAAACACACTATTTGTAGAATCTGCAAGTGGATATGTGGGCCTCTCTGAGGATTTCGTTGGAAACGGGATAAACCGCACAGAACTAAAACAGAAGCATTCTCAGAAACTACTTTGTGATGATTGCATTCAAGTCACAGAGTTGAACATTCCCTTTGACAGAGCAGTTTGGAAACTCTCTTTGTGTAGAATCTGCAAGTGGAGATATGGACCGCTTTGAGGCCTATGGTAGTAAAGGAAATAGCTTCATATAAAAGCTAGACAGTAGCATTCTCAGAAACTTCTTTGTGATGCTTGCATTCAACTCACAGAGTTGAACTTTCCTTTCGAGAGAGAAGCTTTGAAACACTCTTTTTCCAGAATGTGCAAGTGGACATTTGGGGAGCTTTGAGGCCTGGGGTGGAAAAGGAATTATCTTCCCGTAAAAGCTAGATAGAAGCATTGTCAGAAACTTCTTTGTGATGATTGCATTCAACTCACAGAGTTGAAGGTTCCTTTTCAAACAGCAGTTTCCAATCACTCTTTCTGTGGAATCTGCAAGTGGATATTTGGGCCTCTCTGAGGATTTCGTTGGAAACGGGATAAAACGCACAGAACTAAAACAGAAGCATTCTCAGAAACTTCTCTGTGATGTTTGTGTTCAACTCCCAGAGTTTCACGTTGCTTTTCATAGAGTAGTTCTGAAACATGCTTTTCGTAGTGTCTGCAAGTGGACATTTGGAGCGCTTTCAGGCCTGTGGTGGAAAACGAATTATGGTCACATAAAAACTGGAGAGAAGCCTTCTCAGAAACTTCTCTGTGATGATTGCATTCAACTCACAGAGTTGAACCCTCCTATGGATAGAGCAGTGTTGAAACTCTCTTTTTGTGGAATCTGCAAGTGGATATGTGGACCTCTCCGAAGATGTCTTTGGAAACGGGAATATCTTCACATAAAAACTAAACAGAAGCATTCTCAGAAACTTCTTGGTGATGTTTGCATTCAAATCCCAGAGTTGAACCTTCCTTTGAGAGTTCAGGTTTGAAACACTCTTTTTGTAGGATCTGAAAGTGGATATTTGGACCACTCTGTGGCCTTCGTTCGAAACGGGTACATCTTCGAATAAAATCTAGACAGAAGCATTCTCAGAAAATACTTTGTGATGATTGAGTTTAAATCACAGAGCTGACCATTCCTTTGGATGGAGCAGGTTTGAGACACACTTTTTGTAGAATCTACAAGTGGATATTTGGACCTACTCCTGAGGATTTCGTTGGAAACGGGATAACTGCACCTAACTAAACGGAAGCATTCTCAGAAACGGCTTTGTGATGATTGCATTCACCTCACAGAGTTGAACATTCCTATTGATAGAGCAGTTTGGAAACACTCCTGTTGTGGAATGTGCAAGTGGAGATTTGGAGCGCTTTGAGGCCTATGGTAGTAAAGGGAATAACTTCATAGAAAAACTAGACAGATGCATTCTCAGGAACTTTTTGGTGATGTTTATATTCAACTCCCAGAGTTGAACTTTCCTTTGGAAAGAGCAGCTATGAAACACTCTTTTTCTAGAATCTGCAAGTGGACGTTTGGAGGGCTTTGTGGTTTGTGGTGGAAAAGGAAATATCTTCACCTAAATACTAGACAGAAGCATTCTCAGAAGCTTCTCTGTGATGACTGCATTTAACTCACGGAGTTGAACACTCCTTTTGAGAGCGCAGTTTTGAAACTCTCTTTCTGTGGCATCTGCAAGGGGACATGTAGACCTCTTTGAAGATTTCGTTGGAAACGGAATCATCTTCACATAAAAACTATACAGAAGCAGTCTCAGAATCTTCTTTGTGATGTTTGCATTCAAATCCCAGAGTTGAACTTTCCTTTCAAAGTTCACGTTTGAAACACTCTTTTTGCAGGATCTACAAGTGGATATTTGGACCACTCTGTGTCCTTCGTTCGAAACGGGTATATCTTCACACGACATCTAGACAGAAGCTTTCTCAGAAAATTCTTTGGGATGATTGAGTGGAACTCACAGAGCTGAACATTCCTTGCGATGTAGCAGTTTAGAAACACACTTTCTGCAGAATCTGCAAGTGCATATTTGGACCTCTCTGAGGAATTCGTTGGAAACGGGATAATTTCAGCTGACTAAACAGAAGCATTCTCAGAACCTTCTTCGTGATGTCTGCATTCAACTCACAGTGTGGAACCTTTCTTTGATAGTTCAGGTTTGAAACACTCTTTTTGTAGAAACTGCAAGGGGATAATTGCACTTCTTTGAGGCCTACCGTAGTAAAGGAAATAACTTCCTATAGAAAGAAGACAGAAGCATTCTCAGAACCCTCTTCGTGATGTTTGCATTCAACTCACAGTGCTGAACCTTTCTTTGATAGTTCAGCTTTGAAACACTCTTCTTGTAGAAACTGCAAGTGGATATTTGGTCCTCTCTGAGGATTTCGTTGGAAACGGGATAAACCGCACAGAACTAAACAGAAGCATTCTCAGAACCTTCTTCGTGATGTTTGCATTCAACTCACAGTGTTGAACCTTTCTTTGATAGTTCAGGTTTGAAACGGTCTTTCTGTAGAAACTGCAAGTAGATATTTGGACCTCTCTGAGGATTTCGTTGGAAACGGGATAACCCGCACAGAACTAAAACAGAAGCATTCACAGAAAACTCTTGGTGACGACTGAGTTTAACTCACAGAGCTGAACATTCCTTTGGATGGAGCAGTTTCGAAACACACTATTTGTAGAATCTGCAAGTGGATATTTGGGCCTCTCTGAGGATTTCGTTGGAAACGGGATAAACCGCACAGAACTAAAACAGAAGCATTCTCAGAAACTACTTTGTGATGATTGCATTCAAGTCACAGAGTTGAACATTCCCTTTGACAGAGCAGTTTGGAAACTCTCTTTGTGTAGAATCTGCAAGTGGAGATATGGACCGCTTTGAGGCCTATGGTAGTAAAGGAAATAGCTTCATATAAAAGCTAGACAGTAGCATTCTCAGAAACTTCTTTGTGATGCTTGCATTCAACTCACAGAGTTGAACTTTCCTTTCGAGAGAGAAGCTTTGAAACACTCTTTTTCCAGAATCTGCAAGTGGACATTTGGAGGGCTTTGAGGCCTGTGGTGGAAAAGGAATTATCTTCCCGTAAAAGCTAGATAGAAGCATTGTCAGAAACTTCTTTGTGATGATTGCATTCAACTCACAGAGTTGAAGGTTCCTTTTCAAACAGCAGTTTCCAATCACTCTTTCTGTGGAATCTGCAAGTGGATATTTCGACCTCTTTGAAGATTTCGTTGGAAACGGGAGAATCTTCACAGAAAAGCTAAACAGAAGCATTCTCAGAAACTTCTCTGTGATGTTTGTGTTCAACTCCCAGAGTTTCACATTGCTTTTCATAGAGTAGTTCTGAAACATGCTTTTCGTAGTGTCTGCAAGTGGACATTTGGAGCGCTTTCAGGCCTGTGGTGGAAAACGAATTATGGTCCCATAAAAACTGGAGAGAAGCCTTCTCAGAAACTTCTCTGTGATGATTGCATTCAACTCACAGATTTGAACCCTCCTATGGATAGAGCATTGTTGAAACTCTCTTTTTGTGGAATCTGCAAGTGGATATGTGGACCTCTCCGAAGATGTCTTTGGAAACGGGAATATCTTCACATAAAAACTAAACAGAAGCATTCTCAGAAACTTCTTGGTGATGTTTGCATTCAAATCCCAGAGTTGAACCTTCCTTTGATAGTTCAGGTTTGAAACACTCTTTCTGTAGGATCTGCAAGTGGCTATTTGGACCACTCTGTGGCCTTCGTTCGAAACGGGTATATCTTCGCATAAAATCTAGACAGAAGCATTCTCAGAAAATACTTTGTGATGATTGAGTTTAACTCACAGAGCTGAACATTCCTTTGGATGGAGCAGGTTTGAGACACACTTTTTGTAGAATCTACAAGTGGATATTTGGACCTCTCTGAGGATTTCGTTGGAAACGCGATAACTGCACCTAACTAAACGGAAGCATTCTCAGAAACTGCTTTGTGATGATTGCATTCACCTCACAGAGTTGAACATTCCTATTGATAGAGCAGTTTGGAAACACTCTTGTTGTGGAATGTGCAAGTGGAGATTTGGAGCGCTTTGAGGCCTATGGTAGTAAAGGGAATAGCTTCATAGAAAAACTAGACAGATGCATTCTCAGAAACTTTTTGGTGATGTTTGTATTCAACTCCCAGAGTTGAACTTTCCTTTGGAAAGAGCAGCTATGAAACCCTCTTTTTCTAGAATCTGCAAGTGGACGTTTGGAGGGCTTTGTGGTTTGTGGTGGAAAAGGAAATATCTTCACCTAAATACTAGATAGAAGCATTCTCAGAAGCTTCTCTGTGATGACTGCATTCAACTCACGGAGTTGAACACTCCTTTTGAGAGCGCAGTTTTGAAACTCTCTTTCTGTGGCATCTGCAAGGGGACATGTAGACCTCTTTGAAGATTTCGTTGGAAACGGAATCATCTTCACATCAAAACTATACAGAAGCAGTCTCAGAATCTTCTTTGTGATGTTTGCATTCAAATCCCAGAGTTGAACTTTCCTTTCAAAGTTCACGTTTGAAACACTCTTTTTGCAGGATCTACAAGTGGATATTTGGACCACTCTGTGTCCTTCGTTCGAAACGGGTATATCTTCACATGACATCTAGACAGAGTAAGCTTTCTCAGAAAATTCTTTGGGATGATTGAGTTGAACTCACAGAGCTGAACATTCCTTGCGATGGAGCAGTTTAGAAACACACTTTCTGCAGAATCTGCAAGTGCATATTTGGACCTCTCTGAGGAATTCGTTGGAAACGGGATAATTTCAGCTGACTAAACAGAAGCATTCTCAGAACCTTCTTCGTGATGTCTGCATTCAACTCACAGTGTGGAACCTTTATTTGATAGTTCAGGTTTGAAACACTCTTTTTGTAGAAACTGCAAGGGGATAATTGCACTTCTTTGAGGCCTACCATAGTAAAGGATATAACTTCCTATAAAAAGAAGACAGAAGCATTCTCAGAACCCTCTTCGTGATGTTTGCATTCAACTCACAGTGCTGAACCTTTCTTTGATAGTTCAGCTTTGAAACACTCTTTTTGTAGAAACTGCAAGTGGATATTTGGTCCTCTCTGAGGATTTCGTTGGAAACGGGATAAACCGCACAGAACTAAACAGAAGCATTCACAGTAAAACTCTTGGTGACGACTGAGTTTAACTCACAGAGCTGAACATTCCTTTGGATGGAGCAGTTTCGAAACACACTATTTGTAGAATCTGCAAGTGGATATTTGGGCCTCTCTGAGGATTTCGTTGGAAACGGGATAAACCGCACAGAACTAAAACAGAAGCATTCTCAGAAACTACTTTGTGATGATTGCATTCAAGTCACAGAGTTGAACATTCCCTTTGACAGAGCAGTTTGGAAACTCTCTTTGTGTAGAATCTGCAAGTGGAGATATGGACCGCTTTGAGGCCTATGGTAGTAAAGGAAATAGCTTCATATAAAAGCTAGACAGTAGCATTCTCAGAAAACTTCTTTGTGATGCTTGCATTCAACTCACAGAGTTGAACTTTCCTTTCGAGAGAGAAGCTTTGAAACACTCTTTTTCCAGAATGTGCAAGTGGACATTTGGGGAGCTTTGAGGCCTGTGGTGGAAAAGGAATTATCTTCCCGTAAAAGCTAGATAGAAGCATTGTCAGAAACTTCTTTGTGATGATTGCATTCAACTCACAGAGTTGAAGGTTCCTTTTCAAAGAGCAGTTTCCAATCACTCTTTCTGTGGAATCTGCAAGTGGATATTTCGACCTCTTTGAAGATTTCGTTGGAAACGGGAGAATCTTCACAGAAAAGCTAAAGAGAAGCATTCTCAGAAACTTCTCTGTGATGTTTGTGTTCAACTCCCAGAGTTTCACGTTGCTTCTCATAGAGTAGTTCTGAAACATGCTTTTCGTAGTGTCTGCAAGTGGACATTTGGAGCGCTTTCAGGCCTGTGGTGGAAAACGAATTATGGTCACATAAAAACTGGAGAGAAGCCTTCTCAGAAACTTCTCTGTGATGATTGCATTCAACTCACAGAGTTGAACCCTCTATGGATAGAGCAGTGTTGAAACTCTCTTTTTGTGGAATCTGCAAGTGGATATGTGGACCTCTCCGAAGATGTCTTTGGAAACGGGAATATCTTCACATAAAAACTAAACAGAAGCATTCTCAGAAACTTCTTGGTGATGTTTGCATTCAAATCCCAGAGTTGAACCTTCCTTTGATAGTTCAGGTTTGAAACACTCTTTCTGTAGGATCTGCAAGTGGCTATTTGGACCACTCTGTGGCCTTCGTTCGAAACGGGTATATCTTCGCATAAAATCTAGACAGAAGCATTCTCAGAAAATACTTTGTGATGATTGAGTTTAACTCACAGAGCTGAACATTCCTTTGGATGGAGCAGGTTTGAGACACACTTTTTGTAGAATCTACAAGTGGATATTTGGACCTCTCTGAGGATTTCGTTGGAAACGGGATAACTGCACCTAACTAAACGGGAAGCATTCTCAGAAACTGCTTTGTGATGATTGCATTCACCTCACAGAGTTGAACATTCCTATTGATAGAGCAGTTTGGAAACACTCTTGTTGTGGAATGTGCAAGTGGAGATTTGGAGCGCTTTGAGGCCTATGGTAGTAAAGGGAATAGCTTCATAGAAAAACTAGACAGATGCATTCTCAGGAACTTTTTGGTGATGTTTGTATTCAACTCCCAGAGTTGAACTTTCCTTTGGAAAGAGCAGCTATGAAACACTCTTTTTCTAGAATCTGCAAGTGGACGTTTGGAGGGCTTTGTGGTTTGTGGTGGAAAAGGAAATATCTTCACCTAAATACTAGATAGAAGCATTCTCAGAAGCTTCTCTGTGATGACTGCATTCAACTCACGGAGTTGAACACTCCTTTTGAGAGCGCAGTTTTGAAACTCTCTTTCTGTGGCATCTGCAAGGGGACATGTAGACCTGTTTGAAGATTTCGTTGGAAACGGAATCATCTTCACATAAAAACTATACAGAAGCAGTCTCAGAATCTTCTTTGTGATGTTTGCATTCGAATCCCAGAGTTGAACTTTCCTTTCAAAGTTCACGTTTGAAACACTCTTTTTGCAGGATCTACAAGTGGATATTTGGACCACTCTGTGTCCTTCGTTCGAAACGGGTATATCTTCACATGACATCTAGACAGAAGCTTTCTCAGAAAATTCTTTGGGATGATTGAGGTGAGCAAACAGAGCTGAACATTCCTTGCGATGTAGCAGTTTAGAAACACACTTTCTGCAGAATCTGCAAGTGCATATGTGGACCTCTCTGAGGAATTCGTTGGAAACGGGATAATTTCAGCTGACTAAACAGAAGCATTCTCAGAACCTTCTTCGTGATGTCTGCATTCAACTCACAGTGTGGAACCTTTCTTTGATAGTTCAGGTTTGAAACACTCTTTTTGTAGAAACTGCAAGGGGATAATTGCACTTCTTTGAGGCCTACCGTAGTAAAGGAAATAACTTCCTATAAAAAGAAGACAGAAGCATTCTCAGAACCCTCTTCGTGATGTTTGCATTCAACTCACAGTGCTGAACCTTTCTTTGATAGTTCAGCTTTGAAACACTCTTCTTGTAGAAACTGCAAGTGGATATTTGGTCCTCTCTGAGGATTTCGTTGGAAACGGGATAAACCGCACAGAACTAAACAGAAGCATTCTCAGAACCTTCTTCGTGATGTTTGCATTCAACTCACAGTGTTGAACCTTTCTTTGATAGTTCAGGTTTGAAACGGTCTTTCTGTAGAAACTGCAAGTAGGTATTTGGACCTCTCTGAGGATTTCGTTGGAAACGGGATAAACCGCAGAGAACTAAAACAGAAGCATTCACAGAAAACTCTTGGTGACGACTGAGTTTAACTCACAGAGCTGAACATTCCTTTGGATGGAGCAGTTTCGAAACACACTATTTGTAGAATGTGCAAGTGGATATTTGGGCCTCTCTGAGGATTTCGTTGGAAACGGGATAAACCGCACAGAACTAAACAGAAGCATTCTCAGAAACTACTTTGTGATGATTGCATTCAAGTCACAGAGTTGAACATTCCCTTTGACAGAGCAGTTTGGAAACTCTCTTTGTGTAGAATCTGCAAGTGGAGATATGGACCGCTTTGAGGCCTATGGTAGTAAAGGAAATAGCTTCATATAAAAGCTAGACAGTAGCATTCTCAGAAACTTCTTTGTGATGCTTGCATTCAACTCACAGAGTTGAACTTTCCTTTCGAGAGAGAAGCTTTGAAACACTCTTTTCCAGAATCTGCAAGTGGACATTTGGAGGGCTTTGAGGCCTGTGGTGGAAAAGGAATTATCTTCCCGTAAAAGCTAGACAGAAGCATTGTCAGAAACTTCTTTGTGATGATTGCATTCAACTCACAGAGTTGAAGGTTCCTTTTCAAACAGCAGTTTCCAATCACTCTTTCTGTGGAATCTGCAAGTGGATATTTGGGCCTCTCTGAGGATTTCGTTGGAAACGGGATAAAACGCACAGAACTAAAACAGAAGCATTCTCAGAAACTTCTCTGTGATGTTTGTGTTCAACTCCCAGAGTTTCACGTTGCTTTTCATAGAGTAGTTCTGAAACATGCTTTTCGTAGTGTCTGCAAGTGGACATTTGGAGCGCTTTCAGGCCTGTGGTGGAAAACGAATTATGGTCACATAAAAACTGGAGAGAAGCCTTTCTCAGAAACTTCTCTGTGATGATTGCATTCAACTCACAGAGTTGAACCCTCCTATGGATAGAGCAGTGTTGAAACTCTCTTTTTGTGGAATCTGCAAGCGGATATGTGGACCTCTCCGAAGATGTCTTTGGCAACGGGAATATCTTCACATAAAAACTAAACAGAAGCATTCTCAGAAACTTCTTGGTGATGTTTGCATTCAAATCCCAGAGTTGAACCTTCCTTTGATAGTTCAGGTTTGCAACACTCTTTTTGTAGGATCTGCAAGTGGATATTTGGACCACTCTGTGGCCTTAGTTCGAAACGGGTACATCTTCGCATAAAATCTAGACAGAAGCATTCTCAGAAAATACTTTGTGATGATTGAGTTTAACTCACAGAGCTGAACATTCCTTTGGATGGAGCAGGTTTGAGACACACTTTTTGTAGAATCTACAAGTGGATATTTGGACCTCTCTGAGGATTTCGTTGGAAACGGGATAACTGCACCTAACTAAACGGAAGCATTCTCAGAAACTGCTTTGTGATGATTGCATTCACCTCACAGAGTTGAACATTCCTTTTGATAGAGCAGTATGGAAACACTCTTGTTGTGGAATGTGCAAGTGGAGATTTGGAGCGCTTTGAGGCCTATGGTAGTAAAGGGAATAGCTTCATAGAAAAACTAGACAGATGCATTCTCAGGAACTTTTTGGTGATGTTTGTATTCAACTCCCAGAGTTGAACTTTCCTTTGGAAAGAGCAGCTATGAAACACTCTTTTTCTAGAATCTGCAAGTGGACTTTTGGAGGGCTTTGTGGTTTGTGGTGGAAAAGGAAATATCTTCACCTAAATACTAGATAGAAGCATTCTCAGAAGCTTCTCTGTGATGACTGCATTCAACTCACGGAGTTGAACACTCCTTTTGAGAGCGCAGTTTTGAAACTCTCTTTCTGTGGCATCTGCAAGGGGACATGTAGACCTCTTTGAAGATTTGATTGGAAACGGAATCATCTTCACATAAAAACTATACAGAAGCAGTCTCAGAATCTTCTTTGTGATGTTTGCATTCAAATCCCAGAGTTGAACTTTCCTTTCAAAGTTCACGTTTGAAACACTCTTTTTGCACGATCTACAAGTGGATATTTGGACCACTCTGTGTCCTTCGTTCGAAACGGGTATATCTTCACATGACATCTACACAGAAGCTTTCTCAGAAAATTCTTTGGGATGATTGAGTGGAACTCACAGAGCTGAACATTCCTTGCGATGTAGCAGTTTAGAAACACACTTTCTGCAGAATCTGCAAGTGCATATTTGGACCTCTCTGAGGAATTCGTTGGAAACGGGATAATTTCAGCTGACTAAACAGAAGCATTCTCAGAACCTTCTTCGTGATGTCTGCATTCAACTCACAGTGTGGAACCTTTCTTTGATAGTTCAGGTTTGAAACACTCTTTTTGTAGAAACTGCAAGGGGATAATTGCACTTCTTTGAGGCCTACCGTAGTAAAGGAAATAACTTCCTATAGAAAGAAGACAGAAGAATTCTCAGAGCCCTCTTCGTGATGTTTGCATTCAACTCACAGTGCTGAACCTTTCTTTGATAGTGCAGCTTTGAAACACTCTTTTTGTAGAAACTGCAAGTGGATGTTTGGTCCTCTCTGAGGATTTCGTTGGAAACGGGATAAACCGCACAGAACTAAAACAGAAGCATTCTCAGAACCTTCTTCGTGATGTTTGCATTCAACTCACAGTGTTGAACCTTTCTTTGATAGTTCAGGTTGGAAACGGTCTTTCTGTAGAAACTGCAAGTAGATATTTGGACCTCTCTGAGGATTTCGTTGGAAACGGGATAAACCGCACAGAACTAAAACAGAAGCATTCACAGAAAACCCTTGGTGACGACTGAGTTTAACTCACAGAGCTGAACATTCCTTTGGATGGAGCAGTTTCGAAACACACTATTTGTAGAATGTGCAAGTGGATATTTGGGCCTCTCTGAGGATTTCGTTGGAAACGGGATAAACCGCACAGAACTAAACAGAAGCATTCTCAGAAACTACTTTGTGATGATTGCATTCAAGTCACAGAGTTGAACATTCCCTTTGACAGAGCAGTTTGGAAACTCTCTTTGTGTAGAATCTGCAAGTGGAGATATGGACCGCTTTGAGGCCTATGGTAGTAAAGGAAATAGCTTCATATAAAAGCTAGACAGTAGCATTCTCAGAAACTTCTTTGTGATGCTTGCATTCAACTCACAGAGTTGAACTTTCCTTTCGAGAGAGAAGCTTTGAAACACTCTTTTTCCAGAATCTGCAAGTGGACATTTGGAGGGCTTTGAGGCCTGTGGTGGAAAAGGAATTATCTTCCCGTAAAAGCTAGATAGAAGCATTGTCAGAAACTTCTTTGTGATGATTGCATTCAACTCACAGAGTTGAAGGTTCCTTTTCAAAGAGCAGTTTCCAATCACTCTTTCTGTGGAATCTGCAAGTGGATATTTGGACCTATTTTGAAGATTTCGTTGGAAACGGGAGAATCTTCACAGGAAAGCTAAACAGAAGCATTCTCAGAAACTTCTCTGTGATGTTTGTGTTCAACTCCCAGAGTTTCACGTTGCTTTTCATAGAGTAGTTCTGAAACATGCTTTTCGTAGTGTCTGCAAGTGGACATTTGGAGCGCTTTCAGGCCTGTGGTGGAAAACGAATTATGGTCACATAAAAACTGGAGAGAAGCCTTCTCAGAAACTTCTCTGTGATGATTGCATTCAACTCACAGAGTTGAACCCTCCTATGGATAGAGCAGTGTTGAAACTCTCTTTTTGTGGAACCTGCAAGTGGATATGTGGACCTCTCCGAAGATGTCTTTGGAAACGGGAATATCTTCACATAAAAACTAAACAGAAGCATTCTCAGAAACTTCTTGGTGATGTTTGCATTCAAATCCCAGAGTTGAACCTTCCTTTGATAGTTCAGGTTTGAAACACTCTTTCTGTAGGATCTGCAAGTGGCTATTTGGACCACTCTGTGGCCTTCGTTCGAAACGGGTATATCTTCGCATAAAATCTAGACAGAAGCATTCTCAGAAAATACTTTGTGATGATTGAGTTGAACTCACAGAGCTGAACATTCCTTTGGATGGAGCAGGTTTGAGACACACTTTTTGTAGAATCTACAAGTGGATATTTGGACCTCTCTGAGGATTTCGTTGGAAACGGGATAACTGCACCTAACTAAACGGAAGCATTCTCAGAAACTGCTTTGTGATGATTGCATTCACCTCACAGAGTTGAACATTCCTATTGATAGAGCAGTTTGGAAACACTCTTGTTGTGGAATGTGCAAGTGGAGATTTGGAGCGCTTTGAGGCCTATGGTAGTAAAGGGAATAGCTTCATAGAAAAACTAGACAGATGCATTCTCAGGAACTTTTTGGTGATGTTTGTATTCAACTCCCAGAGTTGAACTTTCCTTTGGAAAGAGCAGCTATGAAACACTCT
Organism: Homo sapiens; assembly: GCF_000001405.40. Classification (NCBI taxonomy): domain Eukaryota; kingdom Metazoa; phylum Chordata; class Mammalia; order Primates; family Hominidae; genus Homo; species Homo sapiens. The sequence goes on from NC_000017.11 coordinate 26,453,844, forward strand.
TTTTCTAGAATCTGCAAGTGGACGTTTGGAGGGCTTTGTGGTTTGTGGTGGAAAAGGAAATATCTTCACCTAAATACTAGATAGAAGCATTCTCAGAAGCTTCTCTGTGATGACTGCATTCAACTCACGGAGTTGAACACTCCTTTTGAGAGCGCAGTTTTGAAACTCTGTTTCTGTGGCATCTGCAAGGGGACATGTAGACCTCTTTGAAGATTTCGTTGGAAACGGAATCATCTTCACATAAAAACTATACAGAAGCAGTCTCAGAATCTTCTTTGTGGTGTTTGCATTCAAATCCCAGAGTTGAACTTTCCTTTCAAAGTTCACGTTTGAAACACTCTTTTTGCAGGATCTACAAGTGGATATTTGGACCACTGCTGTGTCCTTCGTTCGAAACGGGTATATCTTCACATGACATCTAGACAGAAGCTTTCTCAGAAAATTCTTTGGGATGATTGAGTGGAACTCACAGAGCTGAACATTCCTTGCGATGTAGCAGTTTAGAAACACACTTTCTGCAGAATCTGCAAGTGCATATTTGGACCTCTCTGAGGAATTCGTTGGAAACGGGATAATTTCAGCTGACTAAACAGAAGCATTCTCAGAACCTTCTTCGTGATGTCTGCATTCAACTCACAGTGTGGAACCTTTCTTTGATAGTTCAGGTTTGAAACACTCTTTTTGTAGAAACTGCAAGGGGATAATTGCCCTCTTTGAGGAGTACCGTAGTAAAGGAAATAACTTCCTATAAAAAGAAGACAGAAGCATTCTCAGAACAATCTTCGTGATGTTTGCATTCAACTCACAGTGCTGAACCTTTCTTTGATAGTTCAGCTTTGAAACACTCTTTTTGTAGAAACTGCAAGTGGATATTTGGTCCTCTCTGAGGATTTCGTTGGAAAAGGGATAAAACGCACAGAACTAAACAGAAGCATTCTCAGAACCTTCTTCGTGATGTTTGCATTCAACTCACAGTGTTGAACCTTTCTTTGATAGTTCAGGTTTGAAACGGTCTTTCTGTAGAAACTGCAAGTAGATATTTGGACCTCTCTGAGGATTTCGTTGGAAACGGGATAAACCGCACAGAACTAAAACAGAAGCATTCACAGAAAACTCTTGGTGACGACTGAGTTTAACTCACAGAGCTGAACATTCCTTTGGATGGAGCAGTTTCGAAACACACTATTTGTAGAATCTGCAAGTGGATATTTGGGCCTCTCTGAGGATTTCGTTGGAAACGGGATAAAACGCACAGAACTAAAACAGAAGCATTCTCAGAAACTACTTTGTGATGATTGCATTCAAGTCACAGAGTTGAACATTCCCTTTGACAGAGCAGTTTGGAAACTCTCTTTGTGTAGAATCTGCAAGTGGAGATATGGACCGCTTTGAGGCCTATGGTAGTAAAGGAAATAGCTTCATATAAAAGCTAGACAGTAGCATTCTCAGAAACTTCTTTGTGATGCTTGCATTCAACTCACAGAGTTGAACTTTCCTTTCGAGAGAGAAGCTTTGAAACACTCTTTTTCCAGAATGTGCAAGTGGACATTTGGGGAGCTTTGAGGCCTGTGGTGGAAAAGGAATTATCTTCCCGTAAAAGCTAGATAGAAGCATTGTCAGAAACTTCTTTGTGATGATTGCATTCAACTCACAGAGTTGAAGGTTCCTTTTCAAAGAGCAGTTTCCAATCACTCTTTGTGTGGAATCTGCAAGTGGATATTTGGACCTATTTTGAAGATTTCGTTGGAAACGGGAGAATCTTCACAGGAAAGCTAAACAGAAGCATTCTCAGAAACTTCTCTGTGATGTTTGTGTTCAACTCCCAGAGTTTCACGTTGCTTTTCATAGAGTAGTTCTGAAACATGCTTTTCGTAGTGTCTGCAAGTGGACATTTGGAGCGCTTTCAGGCCTGTGGTGGAAAACGAATTATGGTCACATAAAAACTGGAGAGAAGCCTTCTCAGAAACTTCTCTGTGATGATTGCATTCAACTCACAGAGTTGAACCCTCCTATGGATAGAGCAGTGTTGAAACTCTCTTTTTGTGGAATCTGCAAGTGGATATGTGGACCTCTCCGAAGATGTCTTTGGAAACGGGAATATCTTCACATAAAAACTAAACAGAAGCATTCTCAGAAACTTCTTGGTGATGTTTGCATTCAAATCCCAGAGTTGAACCTTCCTTTGATAGTTCAGGTTTGAAACACTCTTTTTGTAGGATCTGCAAGTGGATATTTGGACCACTCTGTGGCCTTCGTTCGAAACGGGTATATCTTCGCATAAAATCTAGACAGAAGCATTCTCAGAAAATACTTTGTGATGATTGAGTTTAACTCACAGAGCTGAACATTCCTTTGGATGGAGCAGGTTTGAGACACACTTTTTGTAGAATCTACAAGTGGATATTTGGACCTCTCTGAGGATTTCGTTGGAAACGGGATAACTGCACCTAACTAAACGGAAGCATTCTCAGAAACTGCTTTGTGATGATTGCATTCACCTCACAGAGTTGAACATTCCTATTGATAGAGCAGTTTGGAAACACTCTTGTTGTGGAATGTGCAAGTGGAGATTTGGAGCGCTTTGAGGCCTATGGTAGTAAAGGGAATAGCTTCATAGAAAAACTAGACAGATGCATTCTCAGGAACTTTTTGGTGATGTTTGTATTCAACTCCCAGAGTTGAACTTTCCTTTGGAAAGAGCAGCTATGAAACACTCTTTTTCTAGAATCTGCAAGTGGACGTTTGGAGGGCTTTGTGGTTTGTGGTGGAAAAGGAAATATCTTCACCTAAATACTAGATAGAAGCATTCTCAGAAGCTTCTCTGTGATGACTGCATTCAACTCACGGAGTTGAACACTCCTTTTGAGAGCGCAGTTTTGAAACTCTCTTTCTGTGGCATCTGCAAGGGGACATGTAGACCTCTTTGAAGATTTCGTTGGAAACGGAATCATCTTCACATAAAAACTATACAGAAGCAGTCTCAGAATCTTCTTTGTGATGTTTGCATTCAAATCCCAGAGTTGAACTTTCCTTTCAAAGTTCACGTTTGAAACACTCTTTTTGCAGGATCTACAAGTGGATATTTGGACCACTCTGTGTCCTTCGTTCGAAACGGGTATATCTTCACATGACATCTAGACAGAAGCTTTCTCAGAAAATTCTTTGGGATGATTGAGTGGAACTCACAGAGCTGAACATTCCTTGCGATGTAGCAGTTTAGAAACACACTTTCTGCAGAATCTGCAAGTGCATATTTGGACCTCTCTGAGGAATTCGTTGGAAACGGGATAATTTCAGCTGACTAAACAGAAGCATTCTCAGAACCTTCTTCGTGATGTCTGCATTCAACTCACAGTGTGGAACCTTTCTTTGATAGTTCAGGTTTGAAACACTCTTTTTGTAGAAACTGCAAGGGGATAATTGCACTTCTTTGAGGCCTACCGTAGTAAAGGAAATAACTTCCTATAGAAAGAAGACAGAAGCATTCTCAGAACCCTCTTCGTGATGTTTGCATTCAACTCACAACGATGAAACTTTCTTTGATAGTTCAGCTTTGAAACACTCTTCTTGTAGAAACTGCAAGTGGATATTTGGTCCTCTCTGAGGATTTCGTTGGAAACGGGATAAACCGCACAGAACTAAACAGAAGCATTCTCAGAACCTTCTTCGTGATGTTTGCATTCAACTCACAGTGTTGAACCTTTCTTTGATAGTTCAGGTTTGAAACGGTCTTTCTGTAGAAACTGCAAGAAGATATTTGGACCTCTCTGAGGATTTCGTTGGAAACGGGATAAACCGCACAGAACTAAAACAGAAGCATTCACAGAAAACTCTTGGTGACGACTGAGTTTAACTCACAGAGCTGAACATCCCTTTGGATGGAGCAGTTTCGAAACACACTATTTGTAGAATGTGCAAGTGGATATTAGGGCCTCTCTGAGGATTTCGTTGGAAACGGGATAAACCGCACAGAACTAAACAGAAGCATTCTCAGAAACTACTTTGTGATGATTGCATTCAAGTCACAGAGTTGAACATTCCCTTTGACAGAGCAGTTTGGAAACTCTCTTTGTGTAGAATCTGCAAGTGGAGATATGGACCGCTTTGAGGCCTATGGTAGTAAAGGAAATAGCTTCATATAAAAGCTAGACAGTAGCATTCTCAGAAACTTCTTTGTGATGCTTGCATTCAACTCACAGAGTTGAACTTTCCTTTCGAGAGAGAAGCTTTGAAACACTCTTTTTCCAGAATCTGCAAGTGGACATTTGGAGGGCTTTGAGGCCTGTGGTGGAAAAGGAATTATCTTCCCGTAAAAGCTAGATAGAAGCATTGTCAGAAACTTCTTTGTGATGATTGCATTCAACTCACAGAGTTGAAGGTTCCTTTTCAAAGAGCAGTTTCCAATCACTCTTTCTGTGGAATCTGCAAGTGGATATTTGGACCTATTTTGAAGATTTCGTTGGAAACGGGAGAATCTTCACAGGAAAGCTAAACAGAAGCATTCTCAGAAACTTCTCTGTGATGTTTGTGTTCAACTCCCAGAGTTTCACATTGCTTTTCATAGAGTAGTTCTGAAACATGCTTTTCGTAGTGTCTGCAAGTGGACATTTGGAGCGCTTTCAGGCCTGTGGTGGAAAACGAATTATGGTCACATAAAAACTGGAGAGAAGCCTTCTCAGAAACTTCTCTGTGATGATTGCATTCAACTCACAGAGTTGAACCCTCCTATGGATAGAGCAGTGTTGAAACTCTCTTTTTGTGGAATCTGCAAGTGGATATGTGGACCTCTCCGAAGATGTCTTTGGAAACGGGAATATCTTCACATAAAAACTAAACAGAAGCATTCTCAGAAACTTCTTGGTGATGTTTGCATTCAAATCCCAGAGTTGAACCTTCCTTTGATAGTTCAGGTTTGAAACACTCTTTCTGTAGGATCTGCAAGTGGCTATTTGGACCACTCTGTGGCCTTCGTTCGAAACGGGTATATCTTCGCATAAAATCTAGACAGAAGCATTCTCAGAAAATACTTTGTGATGATTGAGTTTAACTCACAGAGCTGAACATTCCTTTGGATGGAGCAGGTTTGAGACACACTTTTTGTAGAATCTACAAGTGGATATTTGGACCTCTCTGAGGATTTCGTTGGAAACGGGATAACTGCACCTAACTAAACGGAAGCATTCTCAGAAACTGCTTTGTGATGATTGCATTCACCTCACAGAGTTGAACATTCCTATTGATAGAGCAGTTTGGAAACACTCTTGTTGTGGAATGTGCAAGTGGAGATTTGGAGCGCTTTGAGGCCTATGGTAGTAAAGGGAATAGCTTCATAGAAAAACTAGACAGATGCATTCTCAGGAACTTTTTGGTGATGTTTGTATTCAACTCCCAGAGTTGAACTTTCCTTTGGAAAGAGCAGCTATGAAACACTCTTTTTCTAGAATCTGCAAGTGGACGTTTGGAGGGCTTTGTGGTTTGTGGTGGAAAAGGAAATATCTACACCTAAATACTAGAGAGAAGCATTCTCAGAAGCTTCTCTGTGATGACTGCATTCAACTCACGGAGTTGAACACTCCTTTTGAGAGCGCAGTTTTGAAACTCCCTTTCTGTGGCATCTGCAAGGGGACATGTAGACCTCTTTGAAGATTTCGTTGGAAACGGAATCATCTTCACATAAAAACTATACAGAAGCAGTCTCAGAATCTTCTTTGTGATGTTTGCATTCAAATCCCCGAGTTGAACTTTCCTTTCAAAGTTCACGTTTGAAACACTCTTTTTGCAGGATCTACAAGTGGATATTTGGACCACTCTGTGTCCTTCGTTCGAAACGGGTATATCTTCACATGACATCTAGACAGAAGCTTTCTCAGAAAATTCTTTGGGATGATTGAGTTGAACTCACAGAGCTGAGCATTCCTTGCGATGTAGCAGTTTAGAAACACACTTTCTGCAGAATCTGCAAGTGCGTATTTGGACCTCTGTGAGGAATTCGTTAGAAACGGGATAATTTCAGCTGACTAAACAGAAGCATTCTCAGAACCTTCTTCGTGATGTCTGCATTCAACTCACAGTGTGGAACCTTTCTTTGATAGTTCAGGTTTGAATCACTCTTTTTGTAGAAACTGCAAGGGGATAATTGCACTTCTTTGAGGCCTACCGTAGTAAAGGAAATAACTTCCTATAAAAAGAAGACAGAAGCATTCTCAGAACCCTCTTCGTGATGTTTGCATTCAACTCACGGTGCTGAACCTTTCTTTGATAGTTCAGCTTTGAAACACTCTTTTTGTAGAAACTGCAAGTGGATATTTGGTCCTCTCTGAGGATTTCGTTGGAAACGGGATAAACCGCACAGAACTAAACAGAAGCATTCTCAGAACCTTCTTCGTGATGTTTGCATTCAACTCACAGTGTTGAACCTTTCTTTGATAGTTCAGCTTTGAAACACTCTTTTTGTAGAAACTGCAAGTGGATATTTGGTCCTCTCTGAGTATTTCGTTGGAAACGGGATAAACCGCACAGAACTAAACAGAAGCATTCACAGAAAACTCTTGGTGACGACTGAGTTTAACTCACAGAGCTGAACATTCCTTTGGATGGAGCCGTTTCGAAACACACTATTTCTAGAACGTGCAAATGGATATTTGGGCCTCTCTGCGGATTTCGTTGGAAAAGGGATAAACCGCACAGAACTAAACAGAAGCATTCTCAGAAACTACTTTGTGATGATTGCATTCAAGTCACAGAGTTGAACATTCCCTTTGACAGAGCAGTTTGGAAACTCTCTTTGTGTAGAATCTGCAAGTGGAGATATGGACCGCTTTGAGGCCTATGGTAGTAAAGGAAATAGCTTCATATAAAAGCTAGACAGTAGCATTCTCAGAAACTTCTTTGTGATGCTTGCATTCAACTCACAGAGTTGAACTTTCCTTTCGAGAGAGAAGCTTTGAAACACTCTTTTTCCAGAATCTGCAAGTGGACATTTGGAGGGCTTTGAGGCCTGTGGTGGAAAAGGAATTATCTTCCCGTAAAAGCTAGATAGAAGCATTGTCAGAAACTTCTTTGTGATGATTGCATTCAACTCACAGAGATGAAGGTTCCTTTACAAACAGCAGTTTCCAAACACTCTTTCTGTGGAATCTGCAAGTGGATATTTGGACCTCTTTGAAGATTTCGTTGGAAACGGGAGAATCTTCACAGAAAAGCTAAACAGAAGCATTCTCAGAAACTTCTCTGTGATGTTTGTGTTCAACTCCCAGAGTTTCACATTGCTTCTCATAGAGTAGTTCTGAAACATGCTTTTCGTAGTGTCTGCAAGTGGACATTTGGAGCGCTTTCAGGCCTGTGGTGGAAAACGAATTATGGTCACATAAAAACTGGAGAGAAGCCTTCTCAGAAACTTCTCTGTGATGATTGCATTCAACTCACAGAGTTGAACCCTCCTATGGATAGAGCAGTGTTGAAACTCTCTTTTTGTGGAATCTGCAAGTGGATATGTGGACCTCTCCGAAGATGTCTTTGGAAACGGGACTATCTTCACATAAAAACTAAACAGAAGCATTCTCAGAAACTTCTTGGTGATGTTTGCATTCAAATCCCAGAGTTGAACCTTCCTTTGATAGTTCAGGTTTGAAACACTCTTTTTGTAGGATCTGCAAGTGGATATTTGGACCACTCTGTGGCCTTCGTTCGAAACGGGTACATCTTCGCATAAAATCTAGACAGAAGCATTCTCAGAAAATACTTTGTGATGATTGAGTTTAACTCACAGAGCTGAACATTCCTTTGGATGGAGCAGGTTTGAGACACACTTTTTGTAGAATCTACAAGTGGATATTTGGACCTCTCTGAGGATTTCGTTGGAAACGGGATAACTGCACCTAACTAAACGGAAGCATTCTCAGAAACTGCTTTGTGATGATTGCATTCACCTCACAGAGTTGAACATTCCTATTGATAGAGCAGTTTGGAAACACTCTTGTTGTGGAATGTGCAAGTGGAGATTTGGAGCGCTTTGAGGCCTATGGTAGTAAAGGGAATAGCTTCATAGAAAAACTAGACAGATGCATTCTCAGGAACTTTTTGGTGATGTTTGTATTCAACTCCCAGAGTTGAACTTTCCTTTGGAAAGAGCAGCTATGAAACACTCTTTTTCTAGAATCTGCAAGTGGACGTTTGGAGGGCTTTGTGGTTTGTGGTGGAAAAGGAAATATCTTCACCTAAATACTAGATAGAAGCATTCTCAGAAGCTTCTCTGTGATGACTGCATTCAACTCACGGAGTTGAACACTCCTTTTGAGAGCGCAGTTTTGAAACTCTCTTTCTGTGGCATCTGCAAGGGGACATGTAGACCTCTTTGAAGATTTCGTTGGAAACGGAATCATCTTCACATAAAAACTATACAGAAGCAGTCTCAGAATCTTCTTTGTGATGTTTGCATTCAAATCCCAGAGTTGAACTTTCCTTTCAAAGTTCACGTTTGAAACACTCTTTTTGCAGGATCTACAAGTGGATATTTGGACCACTCTGTGTCCTTCGTTCGAAACGGGTATATCTTCACACGACATCTAGACAGAAGCTTTCTCAGAAAATTCTTTGGGATGATTGAGTGGAACTCACAGAGCTGAACATTCCTTGCGATGTAGCAGTTTAGAAACACACTTTCTGCAGAATCTGCAAGTGCATATTTGGACCTCTCTGAGGAATTCGTTGGAAACGGGATAATTTCAGCTGACTAAACAGAAGCATTCTCAGAACCTTCTTCGTGATGTCTGCATTCAACTCACAGTGTGGAACCTTTCTTTGATAGTTCAGGTTTGAAACACTCTTTTTGTAGAAACTGCAAGGGGATCATTGCACTTCTTTGAGGCCTACCGTAGTAAAGGAAATAACTTCCTATAAAAAGAAGACAGAAGCATTCTCAGAACCCTCTTCGTGATGTTTGCATTCAACTCACAGTGCTGAACCTTTCTTTGATAGTTCAGCTTTGAAACACTCTTCTTGTAGAAACTGCAAGTGGATATTTGGTCCTCTCTGAGGATTTCGTTGGAAACGGGATAAACCGCACAGAACTAAACAGAAGCATTCTCAGAACCTTCTTCGTGATGTTTGCATTCAACTCACAGTGTTGAACCTTTCTTTGATAGTTCAGGTTTGAAACGGTCTTTCTGTAGAAACTGCAAGTAGATATTTGGACCTCTCTGAGGATTTCGTTGGAAACGGGATAACCCGCACAGAACTAAAACAGAAGCATTCACAGAAAACTCTTGGTGACGACTGAGTTTAACTCACAGAGCTGAACATTCCTTTGGATGGAGCAGTTTCGAAACACACTATTTGTAGAATCTGCAAGTGGATATTTGGGCCTCTCTGAGGATTTCGTTGGAAACGGGATAAAACGCACAGAACTAAAACAGAAGAATTCTCAGAAACTACTTTGTGATGATTGCATTCAAGTCACAGAGCTGAACATTCCCTTTGACAGAGCAGTTTGGAAACTCTCTTTGTTTAGAATCTGCAAGTGGAGATATGGAATGCTTTGAGGCCTATGGTAGTAAAGGAAATAGCTTCATATAAAAGCTAGACAGTAGCATTCTCAGAAACTTCTTTGTGATGCTTGCATTCAACTCACAGAGTTGAACTTTCCTTTCGAGAGAGAAGCTTTGAAACACTCTTTTTCCAGAATCTGCAAGTGGACATTTGGAGGGCTTTGATGTCTGTGGTGGAAAAGGAATTATCTTCCCGTAAAAGCTAGATAGAAGCATTGTCAGAAACTTCTTTCTGATGATTGCATTCAACTCACAGAGTTGAAGGTTCCTTTTCAAACAGCAGGTTCCAAACACTCTTTCTGTGGAATCTGCAAGTGGATATTTGGACCTCTTTGAAGATTTCGTTGGAAACGGGAGAATCTTCACAGAAAAGCTAAACAGAAGCATTCTCAGAAACTTCTCTGTGATGTTTGTGTTCAACTCCCAGAGTTTCACGTTGCTTTTCATAGAGTACTTCTGAAACATGCTTTTCGTAGTGTCTGCAAGTGGACATTTGGAGCGCTTTCAGGCCTGTGGTGGAAAACGAATTATGGTCACATAAAAACTGGAGAGAAGCCTTCTCAGAAACTTCTCTGTGATGATTGCATTCAACTCACAGAGTTGAACCCTCCTATGGATAGAGCAGTGTTGAAACTCTCTTTTTGTGGAATCTGCAAGTGGATATGTGGACCTCTCCGAAGATGTCTTTGGAAACGGGAATATCTTCACATAAAAACTAAACAGAAGCATTCTCAGAAACTTCTTGGTGATGTTTGCATTCAAATCCCAGAGTTGAACCTTCCTTTGATAGTTCAGGTTTGAAACACTCTTTTTGTAGGATCTGCAAGTGGATATTTGGACCACTCTGTGGCCTTCGTTCGAAACGGGTACATCTTCGCATAAAATCTAGACAGAAGCATTCTCAGAAAATACTTTGTGATGATTGAGTTTAACTCACAGAGCTGAACATTCCTTTGGATGGAGCAGGTTTGAGACACACTTTTTGTAGAATCTACAAGTGGATATTTGGACCTCTCTGAGGATTTCGTTGGAAACGCGATAACTGCACCTAACTAAACGGAAGCATTCTCAGAAACTGCTTTGTGATGATTGCATTCACCTCACAGAGTTGAACATTCCTATTGATAGAGCAGTTTGGAAACACTCTTGTTGTGGAATGTGCAAGTGGAGATTTGGAGCGCTTTGAGGTCTATGGTAGTAAAGGGAATAGCTTCATAGAAAAACTAGACAGATGCATTCTCAGGAACCTTTTGGTGATGTTTGTATTCAACTCCCAGAGTTGAACTTTCCTTTGGAAAGAGCAGCTATGAAACACTCTTTTTCTAGAATCTGCAAGTGGACGTTTGGAGGGCTTTGTGGTTTGTGGTGGAAAAGGAAATATCTTCACCTAAATACTAGATAGAAGCATTCTCAGAAGCTTCTCTGTGATGACTGCATTCAACTCACGGAGTTGAACACTCCTTTTGAGAGCGCAGTTTTGAAACTCTCTTTCTGTGGCATCTGCAAGGGGACATGTAGACCTCTTTGAAGATTTCGTTGGAAACGGAATCATCTTCACATAAAAACTATACAGAAGCAGTCTCAGAATCTTCTTTGTGATGTTTGCATTCAAATCCCCGAGTTGAACTTTCCTTTCAAAGTTCACGTTTGAAACACTCTTTTTGCAGGATCTACAAGTGGATATTTGGACCACTCTGTGTCCTTCGTTCGAAACGGGTATATCTTCACATGACATCTAGACAGAAGCTTTCTCAGAAAATTCTTTGGGATGATTGAGTGGAACTCACAGAGCTGAACATTCCTTGCGATGTAGCAGTTTAGAAACACACTTTCTGCAGAATCTGCAAGTGCATATTTGGACCTCTCTGAGGAATTCGTTGGAAACGGGATAATTTCAGCTGACTAAACAGAAGCATTCTCAGAACCTTCTTCGTGATGTCTGCATTCAACTCACAGTGTGGAACCTTTCTTTGATAGTTCAGGTTTGAAACACTCTTTTTGTAGAAACTGCAAGGGGATAATTGCACTTCTTTGAGGCCTACCGTAGTAAAGGAAATAACTTCCTATAGAAAGAAGACAGAAGCATTCTCAGAACCCTCTTCGTGATGTTTGCATTCAACTCACAGTGCTGAACCTTTCTTTGATAGTTCAGCTTTGAAACACTCTTCTTGTAGAAACTGCAAGTGGATATTTGGTCCTCTCTGAGGATTTCGTTGGAAACGGGATAAACCGCACAGAACTAAACAGAAGCATTCTCAGAACCTTCTTCGTGATGTTTGCATTCAACTCACAGTGCTGAACCTTTCTTTGATAGTTCAGCTTTGAAACACTCTTTTTGTAGAAACTGCAACTGGATATTTGGACCTCTCTGAGGATTTCGTTGGAAACGGGATAAACCGCACAGAACTGAAACAGAAGCATTCACAGAAAACTCTTGGTGACGACTGAGTTTAAATCACAGAGCTGAACATCCCTTTGGATGGAGCAGTTTGGAAACACACTATTTGTAGAATGTGCAAGTGGATATTGGGGCCTCTCTGAGGATTTCGTTGGAAACGGGATAAACCGCACAGAACTAAACAGAAGCATTCTCAGAAACTACTTTGTTATGATTGCATTCAAGTCACAGAGTTGAACATTCCCTTTGACAGAGCAGTTTGGAAACTCTCTTTGTGTAGAATCTGAAAGTGGAGATATGGACCGCTTTGAGGACTATGGTAGTAAAGGAAATAGCTTCATATAAAAGCTAGACAGTAGCATTCTCAGAAACTTCTTTGTGATGCTTGCATTCAACTCACAGAGTTGAACTTTCCTTTCGAGAGAGAAGCTTTGAAACACTCTTTTTCCAGAATCTGCAAGTGGACATTTGGAGGGCTTTGAGGCCTGTGGTGGAAAAGGAATTATCTTCCCGTAAAAGCTAGATAGAAGCATTGTCAGAAACATCTTCGTGATGATAGCATTCAACTCACAGAGTTGAAGTTTCCTTTATAAACAGCACTTTCCAAACACTCTTTCTGTGGAATCTGCAAGTGGATATTTGGACCTCTTTGAAGATGTCGTTGGAAACGGGATAATGTTCACAGAAAAGCTAAACAGAAGCATTCTCAGAAACTTCTCTGTGATGTTTGTGTTCAACTCCCAGAGTTTCACATTGCTTTTCATAGAGTAGTTCTGAAACATGCTTTTCGTAGTGTCTGCAAGTGGACATTTGGAGCGCTTTCAGGCCTGTGGTGGAAAACGAATTATGGTCCCATAAAAACTGGAGAGAAGCCTTCTCAGAAACTTCTCTGTGATGATTGCATTCAACTCACAGAGTTGAACCCTCCTATGGATAGAGCAGTGTTGAAACTCTCTTTTTGTGGAATCTGCAAGTGGATATGTGGACCTCTCCGAAGATGTCTTTGGAAACGGGAATATCTTCACATAAAAACTAAACAGAAGCATTCTCAGAAACTTCTTGGTGATGTTTGCATTCCAATCCCAGAGTTGAACCTTCCTGTGATAGTTCAGGTTTGAAACACTCTTTTTGTAGGATCTGCAAGTGGATATTTGGACCACTCTGTGGCCTTCGTTCGAAACGGGTACATCTTCACATAAAATCTAGACAGAAGCATTCTCAGAAAATACTTTGTGATGATTGAGTTTAACTCACAGAGCTGAACATTCCTTTGGATGGAGCAGGTTTGAGACACACTTTTTGTAGAATCTACAAGTGGATATTTGGACCTCTCTGAGGATTTCGTTAGAAACGCGATAACTGCACCTAACTAAACGGAAGCATTCTCAGAAACTGCTTTGTGATGATTGCATTCACCTCACAGAGTTGAACATTCCTATTGATAGAGCAGTTTGGAAACACTCTTGTTGTGGAATGTGCAAGTGGAGATTTGGAGCGCTTTGAGGCCTGTGGTAGTAAAGGGAATAGCTTCATAGAAAAACTAGACAGATGCATTCTCAGGAACTTTTTGGTGATGTTTGTATTCAACTCCCAGAGTTGAACTTTCCTTTGGAAAGAGCAGCTATGAAACACTCTTTTTCTAGAATCTGCAAGTGGACGTTTGGAGGGCTTTGTGGTTTGTGGTGGAAAAGGAAATATCTTCACCTAAATACTAGATAGAAGCATTCTCAGAAGCTTCTCTGTGATGACTGCATTCAACTCACGGAGTTGAACACTCCTTTTGAGAGCGCAGTTTTGAAACTCTCTTTCTGTGGCATCTGCAAGGGGACATGTAGACCTCTTTGAAGATTTCGTTGGAAACGGAATCATCTTCACATAAAAACTATACAGAAGCAGTCTCAGAATCTTCTTTGTGATGTTTGCATTCAAATCCCAGAGTTGAACTTTCCTTTCAAAGTTCACGTTTGAAACACTCTTTTTGCAGGATCTACAAGTGGATATTTGGACCACTCTGTGTCCTTCGTTCGAAACGGGTATACCTTCACATGACATCTAGACAGAAGCTTTCTCAGAAAATTCTTTGGGATGATTGAGTGGAACTCACAGAGCTGAACATTCCTTGCGATGTAGCAGTTTAGAAACACACTTTCTGCAGAATCTGCAAGTGCATATTTGGACCTCTCTGAGGAATTCGTTGGAAACGGGATAATTTCAGCTGACTAAACAGAAGCATTCTCAGAACCTTCTTCGTGATGTCTGCATTCAACTCACAGTGTGGAACCTTTCTTTGATAGTTCAGGTTTGAAACACTCTTTTTGTAGAAACTGCAAGGGGATAATTGCACTCTTTGAGGAGTACCGTAGTAAAGGAAATAACTTCCTATAAAAAGAAGACAGAAGCATTCTCAGAACCCTCTTCGTGATGTTTGCATTCAACTCACAGTGCTGAACCTTTCTTTGATAGTTCAGCTTTGAAACACTCTTCTTGTAGAAACTGCAAGTGGATATTTGGTCCTCTCTGAGGATTTCGTTGGAAACGGGATAAACCGCACAGAACTAAACAGAAGCATTCTCAGAACCTTCTTCGTGATGTTTGCATTCAACTCACAGTGTTGAAACTTTCTTTGATAGTTCAGGTTTCAAACGGTCTTTCTGTAGAAACTGCAAGTAGATATTTGGACCTCTCTGAGGATTTCGTTGGAAACGGGATAACTGCACCTAACTAAACGGAAGCATTCACAGAAAACTCTTGGTGACGACTGAGTTTAACTCACAGAGCTGAACATTCCTTTGGATGGAGCAGTTTCGAAACACACTATTTGTAGAATCTGCAAGTGGATATTTGGGCCTCTCTGAGGATTTCGTTGGAAACGGGATAAAACGCACAGAACTAAAACAGAAGAATTCTCAGAAACTACTTTGTGATGATTGCATTCAAGTCACAGAGCTGAACATTCCCTTTGACAGAGCAGTTTGGAAACTCTCTTTGTTTAGAATCTGCAAGTGGAGATATGGAATGCTTTGAGGCCTATGGTAGTAAAGGAAATAGCTTCATATAAAAGCTAGACAGTAGCATTCTCAGAAACTTCTTTGTGATGCTTGCATTCAACTCACAGAGTTGAACTTTCCTTTCGAGAGAGAAGGTTTGAAACACTCTTTTTCCAGAATCTGCAAGTGGACATTTGGAGGGCTTTGAGGCCTGTGGTGGAAAAGGAATTAT
This sequence comes from Homo sapiens, assembly GCF_000001405.40. NCBI lineage: Eukaryota > Metazoa > Chordata > Mammalia > Primates > Hominidae > Homo > Homo sapiens. The sequence continues at coordinate 26,469,006 of NC_000017.11, forward strand.
CTTCCCGTAAAAGCTAGATAGAAGCATTGTCAGAAACTTCTTTGTGATGATTGCATTCAACTCACAGAGTTGAAGGTTCCTTTTCAAACAGCAGTTTCCAATCACTCTTTCTGTGGAATCTGCAAGTGGATATTTGGGCCTCTCTGAGGATTTCGTTGGAAACGGGATAAAACGCACAGAACTAAAACAGAAGCATTCTCAGAAACTTCTCTGTGATGTTTGTGTTCAACTCCCAGAGTTTCACATTGCTTTTCATAGAGTAGTTCTGAAACATGCTTTTCGTAGTGTCTACAAGTGGACATTTGGAGCGCTTTCAGGCCTGTGGTGGAAAACGAATTATGGTCACATAAAAACTGGAGAGAAGCCTTCACAGAAACTTCTCTGTGATGATTGCATTCAACTCACAGAGTTGAACCCTCCTATGGATAGAGCAGTGTTGAAACTCTCTTTTTGTGGAATCTGCAAGTGGATATGTGGACCTCTCCGAAGATGTCTTTGGAAACGGGAATATCTTCACATAAAAACTAAACAGAAGCATTCTCAGAAACTTCTTGGTGATGTTTGCATTCAAATCCCAGAGTTGAACCTTCCTTTGATAGTTCAGGTTTGAAACACTCTTTTTGTAGGATCTGCAAGTGGATATTTGGACCACTCTGTGGCCTTCGTTCGAAACGGGTATATCTTCGCATAAAATCTAGACAGAAGCATTCTCAGAAAATACTTTGTGATGATTGAGTTTAACTCACAGAGCTGAACATTCCTTTGGATGGAGCAGGTTTGAGACACACTTTTTGTAGAATCTACAAGTGGATATTTGGACCTCTCTGAGGATTTCGTTGGAAACGGGATAACTGCACCTAACTAAACGGAAGCATTCTCAGAAACTGCTTTGTGATGATTGCATTCACCTCACAGAGTTGACCAATCCTATTGATAGAGCAGTTTGGAAACACTCTTGTTGTGGAATGTGCAAGTGGAGATATGGAGCGCTTCGAGGCCTATGGTAGTAAAGGGAATAGCTTCATAGAAAAACTAGACAGATGCATTCTCAGGAACTTTTTGGTGATGTTTGTATTCAACTCCCAGAGTTGAACTTTCCTTTGGAAAGAGCAGCTATGAAACACTCTTTTTCTAGAATCTGCAAGTGGACGTTTGGAGGGCTTTGTGGTTTGTGGTGGAAAAGGAAATATCTTCACCTAAATACTAGATAGAAGCATTCTCAGAAGCTTCTCTGTGATGACTGCATTCAGCTCACGGAGTTGAACACTCCTTTTGAGAGCGCAGTTTTGAAACTCTCTTTCTGTGGCATCTGCAAGGGGACATGTAGACCTCTTTGAAGATTTCGTTGGAAACGGAATCATCTTCACATCAAAACTATACAGAAGCAGTCTCAGAATCTTCTTTGTGATGTTTGCATTCAAATCCCAGAGTTGAACTTTCCTTTCAAAGTTCACGTTTGAAACACTCTTTTTGCAGGATCTACAAGTGGATATTTGGACCACTCTGTGTCCTTCGTTCGAAACGGGTATATCTTCACACGACATCTAGACAGAAGCTTTCTCAGAAAATTCTTTGGGATGATTGAGTGGAACTCACAGAGCTGAACATTCCTTGCGATGTAGCAGTTTAGAAACACACTTTCTGCAGAATCTGCAAGTGCATATTTGGACCTCTCTGAGGAATTCGTTGGAAACGGGATAATTTCAGCTGACTAAACAGAAGCATTCTCAGAACCTTCTTCGTGATGTCTGCATTCAACTCACAGTGTGGAACCTTTCTTTGATAGTTCAGGTTTGAAACACTCTTTTTGTAGAAACTGCAAGGGGATCATTGCACTTCTTTGAGGCCTACCGTAGTAAAGGAGATAACTTCCTATAAAAAGAAGACAGAAGCATTCTCAGAACCCTCTTCGTGATGTTTGCATTCAACTCACGGTGCTGAACCTTTCTTTGATAGTTCAGCTTTGAAACACTCTTTTTGTAGAAACTGCAAGTGGATATTTGGTCCTCTCTGAGGATTTCGTTGGTAACGGGATAAACCGCACAGAACTAAACTGAAGCATTCTCAGAACCTTCTTCGTGATGTTTGCATTCAACTCACAGTGTTGAACCTTTCTTTGATAGTTCAGGTTTGAAACGGTCTTTCTGTAGAAACTGCAAGTAGATATTTGGACCTCTCTGAGGATTTCGTTGGAAACGGGATAACCCGCACAGAACTAAAACAGAAGCATTCACAGAAAACTCTTGGTGACGACTGAGTTTAACTCACAGAGCTGAACATTCCTTTGGATGGAGCAGTTTCGAAACACACTATTTGTAGAATCTGCAAGTGGATATTTGGGCCTCTCTGAGGATTTCGTTGGAAACGGGATAAAACGCACAGAACTAAAACAGAAGCATTCTCAGAAACTACTTTGTGATGATTGCATTCAAGTCACAGAGTTGAACATTCCCTTTGACAGAGCAGTTTGGAAACTCTCTTTGTGTAGAATCTGCAAGTGGAGATATGGACCGCTTTGAGGCCTATGGTAGTAAAGGAAATAGCTTCATATAAAAGCTAGACAGTAGCATTCTCAGAAACTTCTTTGTGATGCTTGCATTCAACTCAGAGAGTTGAACTTTCCTTTCGAGAGAGAAGCTTTGAAACACTCTTTTTCCAGAATCTGCAAGTGGACATTTGGAGGGCTTTGAGGCCTGTGGTGGAAAAGGAATTATCTTCCCGTAAAAGCTAGATAGAAGCATTGTCAGAAACTTCTTTGTGATGATTGCATTCAACTCACAGAGTTGAAGGTTCCTTTTCAAACAGCAGTTTCCAATCACTCTTTCTGTGGAATCTGCAAGTGGATATTTCGACCTCTTTGAAGATTTCGTTGGAAACAGGAGAATCTTCACAGAAAAGCTAAACAGAAGCATTCTCAGAAACTTCTCTGTGATGTTTGTGTTCAACTCCCAGAGTTTCACGTTGCTTTTCATAGAGTAGATCTGAAACATGCTTTTCGTAGTGTCTGCAAGTGGACATTTGGAGCGCTTTCAGGCCTGTGGTGGAAAACGAATTATGGTCACATAAAAACTGGAGAGAAGCCTTCTCAGAAACTTCTCTGTGATGATTGCATTCAACTCACAGAGTTGAACCCTCCTATGGATAGAGCAGTGTTGAAACTCTCTTTTTGTGGAATCTGCAAGTGGATATGTGGACCTCTCCGAAGATGTCTTTGGAAACGGGAATATCTTCACATAAAAACTAAACAGAAGCATTCTCAGAAACTTCTTGGTGATGTTTGCATTCAAATCCCAGAGTTGAACCTTCCTTTGATAGTTCAGGTTTGAAACACTCTTTTTGTAGGATCTGCAAGTGGATATTTGGACCACTCTGTGGCCTTCGTTCGAAACGGGTATATCTTCGCATAAAATCTAGACAGAAGCATTCTCAGAAAATACTTTGTGATGATTGAGTTTAAATCACAGAGCTGACCATTCCTTTGGATGGAGCAGGTTTGAGACACACTTTTTGTAGAATCTACAAGTGGATATTTGGACCTCTCTGAGGATTTCGTTGGAAACGGGATAACTGCACCTAACTAAACGGAAGCATTCTCAGAAACTGCTTTGTGATGATTGCATTCACCTCACAGAGTTGAACATTCCTATTGATAGAGCAGTTTGGAAACACTCTTGTTGTGGAATGTGCAAGTGGAGATTTGGAGCGCTTTGAGGTCTATGGTAGTAAAGGGAATAGCTTCATAGAAAAACTAGACAGATGCATTCTCAGGAACCTTTTGGTGATGTTTGTATTCAACTCCCAGAGTTGAACTTTCCTTTGGAAAGAGCAGCTATGAAACACTCTTTTTCTAGAATCTGCAAGTGGACGTTTGGAGGGCTTTGTGGTTTGTGGTGGAAAAGGAAATATCTTCACCTAAATACTAGATAGAAGCATTCTCAGAAGCTTCTCTGTGATGACTGCATTCAACTCACGGAGTTGAACACTCCTTTTGAGAGCGCAGTTTTGAAACTCTCTTTCTGTGGCATCTGCAAGGGGACATGTAGACCTCTTTGAAGATTTCGTTGGAAACGGAATCATCTTCACATAAAAACTATACAGAAGCAGTCTCAGAATCTTCTTTGTGATGTTTGCATTCAAATCCCAGAGTTGAACTTTCCTTTCAAAGTTCACGTTTGAAACACTCTTTTTGCAGGATCTACAAGTGGATATTTGGACCACTCTGTGTCCTTCGTTCGAAACGGGTATATCTTCACATGACATCTAGACAGAAGCTTTCTCAGAAAATTCTTTGGGATGATTGAGTTGAACTCACAGAGCTGAGCATTCCTTGCGATGTAGCAGTTTAGAAACACACTTTCTGCAGAATCTGCAAGTGCATATTTGGACCTCTGTGAGGAATTCGTTGGAAACGGGATAATTTCAGCTGACTAAACAGAAGCATTCTCAGAACCTTCTTCGTGATGTCTGCATTCAACTCACAGTGTGGAACCTTTCTTTGATAGTTCAGGTTTGAAACACTCTTTTTGTAGAAACTGCAAGGGGATAATTGCACTCTTTGAGGAGTACCGTAGTAAAGGAAATAACTTCCTATAAAAAGAAGACAGAAGCATTCTCAGAACCCTCTTCGTGATGTTTGCATTGAACTCACAGTGCTGAACCTTTCTTTGATAGTTCAGCTTTGAAACACTCTTTTTGTAGAAACTGCAAGTGAATATTTGGTCCTCTCTGAGGATTTCGTTGGAAACGGGATAAAACGCACAGAACTAAACAGAAGCATTCTCAGAACCTTCTTCGTGATGTTTGCATTCAACTCACAGTGTTGAACCTTTCTTTGATAGTTCAGGTTTGAAACGGTCTTTCTGTAGAAACTGCAAGTAGATATTTGGACCTCTCTGAGGATTTCGTTGGAAACGGGATAAACCGCACAGAACTAAAACAGAAGCATTCACAGAAAACTCTTGGTGACGACTGAGTTTAACTCACAGAGCTGAACATTCCTTTGGATGGAGCAGTTTCGAAACACACTATTTGTAGAATGTGCAACTGGATATTTGGGCCTCTCTGAGGATTTCGTTTGAAACGGGATAAACCGCACAGAACTAAACAGAAGCATTCTCAGAAACTACTTTGTGATGATTGCATTCAAGTCACAGAGTTGAACATTCCCTTTGACAGAGCAGTTTGGAAACTCTCTTTGTGTAGAATCTGCAAGTGGAGATATGGACCGCTTTGAGGCCTATGGTAGTAAAGGAAATAGCTTCATATAAAAGCTAGACAGTAGCATTCTCAGAAACTTCTTTGTGATGCTTGCATTCAACTCACAGAGTTGAACTTTCCTTTCGAGAGAGAAGCTTTGAAACACTCTTTTTCCAGAATCTGCAAGTGGACATTTGGAGGGCTTTGAGGCCTGTGGTGGAAAAGGAATTATCTTCCCGTAAAAGCTAGATAGAAGCATTGTCAGAAACTTCTTTGTGATGATTGCATTCAACTCACAGAGTTGAAGGTTCCTTTTCAAACAGCAGTTTCCAATCACTCTTTCTGTGGAATCTGCAAGTGGATATTTGGGCCTCTCTGAGGATTTCGTTGGAAACGGGATAAAACGCACAGAACTAAAACAGAAGCATTCTCAGAAACTTCTCTGTGATGTTTGTGTTCAACTCCCAGAGTTTCACGTTGCTTTTCATAGAGTAGTTCTGAAACATGCTTTTCGTAGTGTCTGCAAGTGGACATTTGGAGCGCTTTCAGGCCTGTGGTGGAAAACGAATTATGGTCACATAAAAACTGGAGAGAAGCCTTCTCAGAAACTTCTCTGTGATGATTGCATTCAACTCACAGAGTTGAACCCTCCTATGGATAGAGCAGTGTTGAAACTCTCTTTTTGTGGAATCTGCAAGTGGATATGTGGACCTCTCCGAAGATGTCTTTGGAAACGGGAATATCTTCACATAAAAACTAAACAGAAGCATTCTCAGAAACTTCTTGGTGATGTTTGCATTCAAATCCCAGAGTTGAACCTTCCTTTGATAGTTCAGGTTTGAAACACTCTTTTTGTAGGATCTGCAAGTGGATATTTGGACCACTCTGTGGCCTTCGTTCGAAACGGGTACATCTTCCCATAAAATCTAGACAGAAGCATTCTCAGAAAATACTTTGTGATGATTGAGTTTAAATCACAGAGCTGACCATTCCTTTGGATGGAGCAGGTTTGAGACACACTTTTTGTAGAATCTACAAGTGGATATTTGGACCTCTCTGAGGATTTCGTTGGAAACGGGATAACTGCACCTAACTAAACGGAAGCATTCTCAGAAACTGCTTTGTGATGATTGCATTCACCTCACAGAGTTGAACATTCCTATTGATAGAGCAGTTTGGAAACACTCTTGTTGTGGAATGTGCAAGTGGAGATTTGGAGCGCTTTGAGGCCTATGGTAGTAAAGGGAATAGCTTCATAGAAAAACTAGACAGATGCATTCTCAGGAACTTTTTGGTGATGTTTGTATTCAACTCCCAGAGTTGAACTTTCCTTTGGAAAGAGCAGCTATGAAACACTCTTTTTCTAGAATCTGCAAGTGGACGTTTGGAGGGCTTTGTGGTTTGTGGTGGAAAAGGAAATATCTTCACCTAAATACTAGATAGAAGCATTCTCAGAAGCTTCTCTGTGATGACTGCATTCAACTCACGGAGTTGAACACTCCTTTTGAGAGCGCAGTTTTGAAACTCTCTTTCTGTGGCATCTGCAAGGGGACATGTAGACCTCTTTGAAGATTTCGTTGGAAACGGAATCATCTTCACATAAAAACTATACAGAAGCAGTCTCAGAATCTTCTTTGTGATGTTTGCATTCAAATCCCAGAGTTGAACTTTCCTTTCAAAGTTCACGTTTGAAACACTCTTTTTGCAGGATCTACAAGTGGATATTTGGACCACTCTGTGTCCTTCGTTCGAAACGGGTATAACTTCACACGACATCTAGACAGAAGCTTTCTCAGAAAATTCTTTGGGATGATTGAGTTGAACTCACAGAGCTGAACATTCCTTGCGATGTAGCAGTTTAGAAACACACTTTCTGCAGAATCTGCAAGTGCATATTTGGACCTCTCTGAGGAATTCGTTGGAAACGGGATAATTTCAGCTGACTAAACAGAAGCATTCTCAGAACCTTCTTCGTGATGTCTGCATTCAACTCACAGTGTGGAACCTTTCTTTGATAGTTCAGGTTTGAAACACTCTTTTTGTAGAAACTGCAAGTGTATAATTGCACTTCTTTGAGGCCTACCGTAGTAAAGGAAATAACTTCCTATAAAAAGAAGACAGAAGCATTCTCAGAACCCTCTTCGTGATGTTTGCATTCAACTCACAGTGCTGAACCTTTCTTCGATAGTTCAGCTTTGAAACACTCTTTTTGTAGAAACTGCAAGTGAATATTTGGTCCTCTCTGAGGATTTCGTTGGAAAAGGGATAAACGGCACAGAACTAAACAGAAGCATTCTCAGAACCTTCTTCGTGATGTTTGCATTCAACTCACAGTGTTGAACCTTTCTTTGATAGTTCAGGTTTGAAACGGTCTTTCTGTAGAAACTGCAAGTAGATATTTGGACCTCTCTGAGGATTTCGTTGGAAACGGGATAAACCGCACAGAACTAAACAGAAGCATTCACAGAAAACTCTTGGTGACGACTGAGTTTAACTCACAGAGCTGAACATTCCTTTGGATGGAGCAGTTTCGAAACACACTATTTGTAGAATGTGCAAGTGGATATTTGGGCCTCTCTGAGGATTTCGTTGGAAACGGGATAAACCGCACAGAACTAAACAGAAGCATTCTCAGAAACTACTTTGTGATGATTGCATTCAAGTCACAGAGTTGAACATTCCCTTTGACAGAGCAGTTTGGAAACTCTCTTTGTGTAGAATCTGCAAGTGGAGATATGGACCGCTTTGAGGCCTATGGTAGTAAAGGAAATAGCTTCATATAAAAGCTAGACAGTAGCATTCTCAGAAACTTCTTTGTGATGCTTGCATTCAACTCACGGAGTTGAACTTTCCTTTCGGGAGAGAAGCTTTGAAACACTCTTTTTCCAGAATGTGCAAGTGGACATTTGGAGGGCTTTGAGGCCTGTGGTGGAAAAGGAATTATCTTCCCGTAAAAGCTAGATAGAAGCTTTGTCAGAAACTTCTTTGTGATGATTGCATTCAAGTCACAGAGTTGAAGGTTCCTTTTCAAAGAGCAGTTTCCAATCACTCTTTCTGTGGAATCTGCAAGTGGATATTTGGACCTCTTTGAAGATTTCGTTGGAAACGGGAGAATCTTCACAGAAAAGCTAAACAGAAGCATTCTCAGAAACTTCTCTGTGATGTTTGTGTTCAACTCCCAGAATTTCACATTGCTTTTCATAGAGTAGTTCTGAAACATGCTTTTCGTAGTGTCTGCAAGTGGACATTTGGAGCGCTTTCAGGCCTGTGGTGGAAAACGAATTATGGTCACATAAAAACTGGAGAGAAGCCTTCTCAGAAACTTCTCTGTGATGATTGCATTCAACTCACAGAGTTGAACCCTCCTATGGATAGAGCAGTGTTGAAACTCTCTTTTTGTGGAATCTGCAAGTGGATATGTGGACCTCTCCGAAGATGTCTTTGGAAACGGGAATATCTTCACATAAAAACTAAACAGAAGCATTCTCAGAAACTTCTTGGTGATGTTTGCATTCAAATCCCAGAGTTGAACCTTCCTTTGATAGTTCAGGTTTGAAACACTCTTTTTGTAGGATCTGCAAGTGGCTATTTGGACCACTCTGTGGCCTTCGTTCGAAACGGGTATATCTTCGCATAAAATCTAGACAGAAGCATTCTCAGAAAATACTTTGTGATGATTGAGTTTAAATCACAGAGCTGACCATTCCTTTGGATGGAGCAGGTTTGAGACACACTTTTTGTAGAATCTACAAGTGGATATTTGGACCTCTCTGAGGATTTCGTTGGAAACGGGATAACTGCACCTAACTAAACGGAAGCATTCTCAGAAACTGCTTTGTGATGATTGCATTCACCTCACAGAGTTGAACATTCCTATTGATAGAGCAGTTTGGAAACACTCTTGTTGTGGAATGTGCAAGTGGAGATTTGGAGCGCTTTGAGGCCTATGGTAGTAAAGGGAATAGCTTCATAGAAAAACTAGACAGATGCATTCTCAGGAACTTTTTGGTGATGTTTGTATTCAACTCCCAGAGTTGAACTTTCCTTTGGAAAGAGCAGCTATGAAACACTCTTTTTCTAGAATCTGCAAGTGGACGTTTGGAGGGCTTTGTGGTTTGTGGTGGAAAAGGAAATATCTTCACCTAAATACTAGATAGAAGCATTCTCAGAAGCTTCTCTGTGATGACTGCATTCAACTCACGGAGTTGAACACTCCTTTTGAGAGCGCAGTTTTGAAACTCTCTTTCTGTGGCATCTGCAAGGGGACATGTAGACCTCTTTGAAGATTTCGTTGGAAACGGAATCATCTTCACATAAAAACTATACAGAAGCAGTCTCAGAATCTTCTTTGTGATGTTTGCATTCAAATCCCAGAGTTGAACTTTCCTTTCAAAGTTCACGTTTGAAACACTCTTTTTGCAGGATCTACAAGTGGATATTTGGACCACTCTGTGTCCTTCGTTCGAAACGGGTATATCTTCACACGACATCTAGACAGAAGCTTTCTCAGAAAATTCTTTGGGATGATTGAGTGGAACTCACAGAGCTGAACATTCCTTGCGATGTAGCAGTTTAGAAACACACTTTCTGCAGAATCTGCAAGTGCATATTTGGACCTCTCTGAGGAATTCGTTGGAAACGGGATAATTTCAGCTGACTAAACAGAAGCATTCTCAGAACCTTCTTCGTGATGTCTGCATTCAACTCACAGTGTGGAACCTTTCTTTGATAGTTCAGGTTTGAAACACTCTTTTTGTAGAAACTGCAAGGGGATAATTGCACTTCTTTGAGGCCTACCGTAGTAAAGGAAATAACTTCCTATAGAAAGAAGACAGAAGCATTCTCAGAACCCTCTTCGTGATGTTTGCATTCAACTCACAGTGCTGAACCTTTCTTTGATAGTTCAGCTTTGAAACACTCTTTTTGTAGAAACTGCAAGTGGATATTTGGTCCTCTCTGAGCATTTCGTTGGAAACGGGATAAACTGCACAGAACTAAACAGAAGCATTCTCAGAACCTTCTTCGTGATGTTTGCATTCAACTCACAGTGTTGAACCTTTCTTTGATAGATCAGGTTTGAAACGGTCTTTCTGTAGAAACTGCAAGTAGATATTTGGACCTCTCTGAGGATTTCGTTGGAAACGGGATAAACCTCACACAACTAAAACAGAAGAATTCACAGAAAACTCTTGGTGACGACTGAGTTTAAATCACAGAGCTGAACATCCCTTTGGATGGAGCAGTTTCGAAACACACTATTTGTAGAATGTGCAAGTGGATATTGGGGCCTCTCTGAGGATTTCGTTGGAAACGGGATAAACCGCACAGAAGTAAACAGAAGCATTCTCAGAAACTACTTTGTGATGATTGCATTCAAGTCACAGAGTTGAACATTCCCTTTAACAGAGCAGTTTGGATACTCTCTTTCTGTAGAATCTGGAAGTGGAGATATGGACCGCTTTGAGGCCTATGGTAGTAAAGGAAATAGCTTCATATAAAAGCTAGACAGTAGCATTCTCAGAAACTTCTTTGTGATGCTTGCATTCAACTCACAGAGTTGAACTTTCCTTTCGAGAGAGAAGCTTTGAAACACTCTTTTTCCAGAATCTGCAAGTGGACATTTGGAGGGCTTTGAGGCCTGTGGTGGAAAAGGAATTAACTTCCCGTAAAAGCTAGATAGAAGCATTGTCAGAAACTTCTTTGTGATGATTGCATTCAACTCACAGAGTTGAAGGTTCCTTTTCAAACAGCAGTTTCCAATCACTCTTTCTGTGGAATCTGCAAGTGGATATTTCGACCTCTTTGAAGATTTCGTTGGAAACGGGAGAATCTTCACAGAAAAGCTAAACAGAAGCATTCTCCAGAAACTTCTCTGTGATGTTTGTGTTCAACTCCCAGAGTTTCACATTGCTTTTCATAGAGTAGTTCTGAAACATGCTTTTCGTAGTGTCTGCAAGTGGACATTTGGAGCGCTTTCAGGCCTGTGGTGGAAAACGAATTATGGTCCCATAAAAACTGGAGAGAAGCCTTCTCAGAAACTTCTCTGTGATGATTGCATTCAACTCACAGAGTTGAACCCTCCTATGGATAGAGCAGTGTTGAAACTCTCTTTTTGTGGAATCTGCAAGTGGATATGTGGACCTCTCCGAAGATGTCTTTGGAAACGGGAATATCTTCACATAAAAACTAAACAGAAGCATTCTCAGAAACTTCTTGGTGATGTTTGCATTCAAATCCCAGAGTTGAACCTTCCTTTGATAGTTCAGGTTTGAAACACTCTTTCTGTAGGATCTGCAAGTGGCTATTTGGACCACTCTGTGGCCTTCGTTCGAAACGGGTATATCTTCGCATAAAATCTAGACAGAAGCATTCTCAGAAAATACTTTGTGATGATTGAGTTTAACTCACAGAGCTGAACATTCCTTTGGATGGAGCAGGTTTGAGACACACTTTTTGTAGAATCTACAAGTGGATATTTGGACCTCTCTGAGGATTTCGTTGGAAACGCGATAACTGCACCTAACTAAACGGAAGCATTCTCAGAAACTGCTTTGTGATGATTGCATTCACCTCACAGAGTTGAACATTCCTATTGATAGAGCAGTTTGGAAACACTCTTGTTGTGGAATGTGCAAGTGGAGATTTGGAGCGCTTTGAGGCCTATGGTAGTAAAGGGAATAGCTTCATAGAAAAACTAGACAGATGCATTCTCAGGAACTTTTTGGTGATGTTTGTATTCAACTCCCAGAGTTGAGCTTTCCTTTGGAAAGAGCAGCTATGAAACACTCTTTTTCTAGAATCTGCAAGTGGACGTTTGGAGTGCTTTGTGGATTGTGGTGGAAAAGGAAATATCTTCACCTAAATACTAGATAGAAGCATTCTCAGAAGCTTCTCTGTGATGACTGCATTCAACTCACGGAGTTGAACACTCCTTTTGAGAGCGCAGTTTTGAAACTCTCTTTCTGTGGCATCTGCAAGGGGACATGTAGACCTCTTTGAAGATTTCGTTGGAAACGGAATCATCTTCACATAAAATCTATACAGAAGCAGTCTCAGAATCTTCTTTGTGATGTTTGCATTCAAATCCCAGAGTTGAACTTTCCTTTCAAAGTTCACGTTTGAAACACTCTTTTTGCAGGATCTACAAGTGGATATTTGGACCACTCTGTGTCCTTCGTTCGAAACGGGTATATCTTCACACGACATCTAGACAGAAGCTTTCTCAGAAAATTCTTTGGGATGATTGAGTGGAACTCACAGAGCTGAACATTCCTTGCGATGTAGCAGTTTAGAAACACACTTTCTGCAGAATCTGCAAGTGCATATTTGGACCTCTCTGAGGAATTCGTTGGAAACGGGATAATTTCAGCTGACTAAACAGAAGCATTCTCAGAACCTTCTTCGTGATGTCTGCATTCAACTCACAGTGTGGAACCTTTCTTTGATAGTTCAGGTTTGAAACACTCTTTTTGTAGAAACTGCAAGGGGATAATTGCACTTCTTTGAGGCCTACCGTAGTAAAGGAAATAACTTCCTATAGAAAGAAGACAGAAGAATTCTCAGAGCCCTCTTCGTGATGTTTGCATTCAACTCACAGTGCTGAACCTTTCTTTGATAGTGCAGCTTTGAAACACTCTTTTTGTAGAAACTGCAAGTGGATGTTTGGTCCTCTCTGAGGATTTCGTTGGAAACGGGATAAACCGCACAGAACTAAAACAGAAGCATTCTCAGAACCTTCTTCGTGATGTTTGCATTCAACTCACAGTGTTGAACCTTTCTTTGATAGTTCAGGTTTGAAACGGTCTTTCTGTAGAAACTGCAAGTAGATATTTGGACCTCTCTGAGGATTTCGTTGGAAACGGGATAACCCGCACAGAACTAAAACAGAAGCATTCACAGAAAACTCTTGGTGACGACTGAGTTTAACTCACAGAGCTGAACATTACTTTGGATGGAGCAGTTTCGAAACACACTATTTGTAGAATGTGCAAGTGGATATTTGGGCCTCTCTGAGGATTTCGTTGGAAACGGGATAAACCGCACAGAACTAAACAGAAGCATTCTCAGAAACTACTTTGTGATGATTGCATTCAAGTCACAGAGTTGAACATTCCCTTTGACAGAGCAGTTTGGAAACTCTCTTTGTGTAGAATCTGCAAGTGGAGATATGGACCGCTTTGAGGCCTATGGTAGTAAAGGAAATAGCTTCATATAAAAGCTAGACAGTAGCATTCTCAGAAACTTCTTTGTGATGCTTGCATTCAACTCACAGAGTTGAACTTTCCTTTCGAGAGAGAAGCTTTGAAACACTCTTTTTCCAGAATCTGCAAGTGGACATTTGGAGGGCTTTGAGGCCTGTGGTGGAAAAGGAATTATCTTCCCGTAAAAGCTAGATAGAAAGCATTGTCAGAAACTTCTTTGTGATGATTGCATTCAAGTCACAGAGTTGAAGGTTCCTTTTCAAAGAGCAGTTTCCAATCACTCTTTCTGTGGAATCTGCAAGTGGATATTTGGACCTCTTTGAAGATTTCGTTGGAAACGGGAGAATCTTCACAGAAAAGCTAAACAGAAGCATTCTCAGAAACTTCTCTGTGATGTTTGTGTTCAACTCCCAGAGTTTCACGTTGCTTTTCATAGAGTAGTTCTGAAACATGCTTTTCGTAGTGTCTGCAAGTGGACATTTGGAGCGCTTTCAGGCCTGTGGTGGAAAACGAATTATGGTCACATAAAAACTGGAGAGAAGCCTTCTCAGAAACTTCTCTGTGATGATTGCATTCAACTCACAGAGTTGAACCCTCCTATGGATAGAGCAGTGTTGAAACTCTCTTTTTGTGGAATCTGCAAGTGGATATGTGGACCTCTCCGAAGATGTCTTTGGAAACGGGAATATCTTCACATAAAAACTAAACAGAAGCATTCTCAGAAACTTCTTGGTGATGTTTGCATTCAAATCCCAGAGTTGAACCTTCCTTTGATAGTTCAGGTTTGAAACACTCTTTTTGTAGGATCTGCAAGTGGCTATTTGGACCACTCTGTGGCCTTCGTTCGAAACGGGTATATCTTCGCATAAAATCTAGACAGAAGCATTCTCAGAAAATACTTTGTGATGATTGAGTTTAAATCACAGAGCTGACCATTCCTTTGGATGGAGCAGGTTTGAGACACACTTTTTGTAGAATCTACAAGTGGATATTTGGACCTCTCTGAGGATTTCGTTGGAAACGGGATAACTGCACCTAACTAAACGGAAGCATTCTCAGAAACTGCTTTGTGATGATTGCATTCACCTCACAGAGTTGAACATTCCTATTGATAGAGCAGTTTGGAAACACTCTTGTTGCGGAATGTGCAAGTGGAGATTTGGAGCGCTTTGAGGCCTGTGGTAGTAAAGGGAATAGCTTCATAGAAAAACTAGACAGATGCATTCTCAGGAACTTTTTGGTGATGTTTGTATTCAACTCCCAGAGTTGAACTTTCCTTTGGAAAGAGCAGCTATGAAACACTCTTTTTCTAGAATCTGCAAGTGGACGTTTGGAGGGCTTTGTGGTTTGTGGTGGAAAAGGAAATATCTTCACCTAAATACTAGAGAGAAGCATTCTCAGAAGCTTCTCTGTGATGACTGCATTCAACTCACGGAGTTGAACACTCCTTTTGAGAGCGCAGTTTTGAAACTCTCTTTCTGTGGCATCTGCAAGGGGACATGTAGACCTCTTTGAAGATTTCGTTGGAAACGGAATCATCTTCACATAAAAACTATACAGAAGCAGTCTCAGAATCTTCTTTGTGATGTTTGCATTCAAATCCCAGAGTTGAACTTTCCTTTCAAAGTTCACGTTTGAAACACTCTTTTTGCAGGATCTACAAGTGGATATTTGGACCACTCTGTGTCCTTCGTTCGAAACGGGTATATCTTCACACGACATCTAGACAGAAGCTTTCTCAGAAAATTCTTTGGGATGATTGAGTGGAACTCACAGAGCTGAACATTCCTTGCGATGTAGCAGTTTAGAAACACACTTTCTGCAGAATCTGCAAGTGCATATTTGGACCTCTCTGAGGAATTCGTTGGAAACGGGATAATTTCAGCTGACTAAACAGAAGCATTCTCAGAACCTTCTTCGTGATGTCTGCATTCAACTCACAGTGTGGAACCTTTCTTTGATAGTTCAGGTTTGAAACACTCTTTTTGTAGAAACTGCAAGGGGATAATTGCACTTCTTTGAGGCCTACCGTAGTAAAGGAAATAACTTCCTATAGAAAGAAGACAGAAGCATTCTCAGAACCCTCTTCGTGATGTTTGCATTCAACTCATAGTGCTGAACCTTTCTTTGATAGTTCAGCTTTGAAACACTCTTTTTGTAGAAACTGCAAGTGGATATTTGGTCCTCTCTGAGCATTTCGTTGGAAACGGGATAAACTGCACAGAACTAAACAGAAGCATTCTCAGAACCTTCTTCGTGATGTTTGCATTCAACTCACAGTGTTGAACCTTTCTTTGATAGTTCAGGTTTGAAACGGTCTTTCTGTAGAAACTGCAAGTAGATATTTGGACCTCTCTGAGGATTTCGTTGGAAACGGGATAACCCGCACAGAACTAAAACAGAAGCATTCACAGAAAACTCTTGGTGACGACTGAGTTTAACTCACAGAGCTGAACATTCCTTTGGATGGAGCAGTTTCGAAACACACTATTTGTAGAATCTGCAAGTGGATATTTGGGCCTCTCTGAGGATTTCGTTGGAAACGGGATAAAACGCACAGAACTAAAACAGAAGCATTCTCAGAAACTACTTTGTGATGATTGCATTCAAGTCACAGAGTTGAACATTCCCTTTGACAGAGCAGTTTGGAAACTCTCTTTGTGTAGAATCTGCAAGTGGAGATATGGACCGCTTTGAGGACTATGGTAGTAAAGGAAATAGCTTCATATAAAAGCTAGACAGTAGCATTCTCAGAAACTTCTTTGTGATGCTTGCATTCAACTCACAGAGTTGAACTTTCCTTTCGAGAGAGAAGCTTTGAAACACTCTTTTTCCAGAATCTGCAAGTGGACATTTGGAGGGCTTTGAGGCCTGTGGTGGAAAAGGAATTATCTTCCCGTAAAAGCTAGATAGAAGCATTGTCAGAAACTTCTTTGTGATGATTGCATACAAGTCACAGAGTTGAAGGTTCCTTTTCAAAGAGCAGTTTCCAATCACTCTTTCTGTGGAATCTGCAAGTGGATATTTGGACCTCTTTGAAGATTTCGTTGGAAACGGGAGAATCTTCACAGAAAAGCTAAACAGAAGCATTCTCAGAAACTTCTCTGTGATGTTTTTGTTCAACTCCCAGAGTTTCACATTGCTTCTCATAGAGTAGTTCTGAAACATGCTTTTCGTAGTGTCTGCAAGTGGACATTTGGAGCGCTTTCAGGTCTGTGGTGGAAAACGAATTATGGTCACATAAAAACTGGAGAGAAGCCTTCTCAGAAACTTCTCTGTGATGATTGCATTCAACTCACAGAGTTGAACCCTCCTATGGATAGAGCAGTGTTGAAACTCTCTTTTTGTGGAATCTGCAAGCGGATATGTGGACCTCTCCGAAGATGTCTTTGGCAACGGGAATATCTTCACATAAAAACTAAACAGAAGCATTCTCAGAAACTTCTTGGTGATGTTTGCATTCAAATCCCAGAGTTGAACCTTCCTTTGAGAGTTCAGGTTTGAAACACTCTTTTTGTAGGATCTGCAAGTGGATATTTGGACCACTCTGTGGCCTTCGTTCGAAACGGGTACATCTTCGCATAAAATCTAGACAGAAGCATTCTCAGAAAATACTTTGTGATGATTGAGTTTAACTCACAGAGCTGAACATTCCTTTGGATGGAGCAGGTTTGAGACACACCTTTTGTAGAATCTACAAGTGGATATTTGGACCTCTCTGAGGATTTCGTTGGAAACGGGATAACTGCACCTAACTAAACGGAAGCATTCTCAGAAACTGCATTGTGATGATTGCATTCACCTCACAGAGTTGAACATTCCTATTGATAGAGCAGTTTGGAAACACTCTTCTTGTGGAATGTGCAAGTGGAGATTTGGAGCGCTTTGAGGCCTATGGTAGTAAAGGGAATAGCTTCATAGAAAAACTAGACAGATGCATTCTCAGGAACTTTTTGGTGATGTTTGTATTCAACTCCCAGAGTTGAACTTTCCTTTGGAAAGAGCAGCTATGAAACACTCTTTTTCTAGAATCTGCAAGTGGACGTTTGGAGGGCTTTGTGGTTTGTGGTGGAAAAGGAAATATCTTCACCTAAATACTAGATAGAAGCATTCTCAGAAGCTTCTCTGTGATGACTGCATTCAACTCACGGAGTTGAACACTCCTTTTGAGAGCGCAGTTTTGAAACTCTCTTTCTGTGGCATCTGCAAGGGGACATGTAGACCTCTTTGAAGATTTCGTTGGAAACGGAATCATCTTCACATAAAAACTATACAGAAGCAGTCTCAGAATCTTCTTTGTGATGTTTGCATTCAAATCCCAGAGTTGAACTTTCCTTTCAAAGTTCACGTTTGAAACACTCTTTTTGCAGGATCTACAAGTGGATATTTGGACCACTCTGTGTCCTTCGTTCGAAACGGGTATATCTTCACACGACATCTAGACAGAAGCTTTCTCAGAAAATTGTTTGGGATGATTGATTTGAACTCACAGAGGTGAGCATTCCTTGCGATGTAGCAGTTTAGAAACACACTTTCTGCAGAATCTGCAAGTGCATATTTGGACCTCTCTGAGGAATTCGTTGGAAACGGGATAATTTCAGCTGACTAAACAGAAGCATTCTCAGAACCTTCTTCGTGATGTCTGCATTCAACTCACAGTGTGGAACCTTTCTTTGATAGTTCAGGTTTGAAACACTCTTTTTGTAGAAACTGCAAGGGGATAATTGCACTTCTTTGAGGCCTACCGTAGTAAAGGAAATAACTTCCTATAGAAAGAAGACAGAAGCATTCTCAGAACCCTCTTCGTGATGTTTGCATTCAACTCACAGTGCTGAACCTTTCTTTGATAGTTCAGCTTTGAAACACTCTTCTTGTAGAAACTGCAAGTGGATATTTGGTCCTCTCTGAGGATTTCGTTGGAAACGGGATAAACCGCACAGAACTAAACAGAAGCATTCTCTGAACCCTCTTCGTGATGTTTGCATTCAACTCACAGTGTTGAACCTTTCTTTGATAGTTCAGGTTTGAAACGGTCTTTCTGTAGAAACTGCAAGTAGATATTTGGACCTCTCTGAGGATTTCGTTGGAAACGGGATAAACCGCACAGAACTAAAACAGAAGCATTCACAGAAAACTCTTGGTGACGACTGAGTTTAACTCACAGAGCTGAACATCCCTTTGGATGGAGCAGTTTCGAAACACACTATTTGTAGAATGTGCAAGTGGATATTAGGGCCTCTCTGAGGATTTCGTTGGAAACGGGATAAACCGCACAGAACTAAACAGAAGCATTCTCAGAAACTACTTTGTGATGATTGCATTCAAGTCACAGAGTTGAACATTCCCTTTGACAGAGCAGTTTGGAAACTCTCTTTGTGTAGAATCTGCAAGTGGAGATATGGACCGCTTTGAGGCCTATGGTAGTAAAGGAAATAGCTTCATATAAAAGCTAGACAGTAGCATTCTCAGAAACTTCTTTGTGATGCTTGCATTCAACTCACAGAGTTGAACTTTCCTTTCGAGAGAGAAGCTTTGAAACACTCTTTTTCCAGAATCTGCAAGTGGACATTTGGAGGGCTTTGAGGCCTGTGGTGGAAAAGGAATTATCTTCCCGTAAAAGCTAGATAGAAGCATTGTCAGAAACTTCTTTGTGATGATTGCATTCAACTCACAGAGTTGAAGGTTCCTTTTCAAACAGCAGTTTCCAATCACTCTTTCTGTGGAATCTGCAAGTGGATATTTCGACCTCTTTGAAGATTTCGTTGGAAACGGGAGAATCTTCACAGAAAAGCTAAACAGAAGCATTCTCAGAAACTTCTCTGTGATGTTTGTGTTCAACTCCCAGAGTTTCACGTTGCTTTTCATAGAGTAGTTCTGAAACATGCTTTTCGTAGTGTCTGCAAGTGGACATTTGGAGCGCTTTCAGGCCTGTGGTGGAAAACGAATTATGGTCACATAAAAACTGGAGAGAAGCCTTCTCAGAAACTTCTCTGTGATGATTGCATTCAACTCACAGAGTTGAACCCTCCTATGGATAGAGCAGTGTTGAAACTCTCTTTTTGTGGAATCTGCAAGTGGATATGTGGACCTCTCCGAAGATGTCTTTGGAAACGGGAATATCTTCACATAAAAACTAAACAGAAGCATTCTCAGAAACTTCTTGGTGATGTTTGCATTCAAATCCCAGAGTTGAACCTTCCTTTGATAGTTCAGGTTTGAAACACTCTTTCTGTAGGATCTGCAAGTGGCTATTTGGACCACTCTGTGGCCTTCGTTCGAAACGGGTATATCTTCGCATAAAATCTAGACAGAAGCATTCTCAGAAAATACTTTGTGATGATTGAGTTGAACTCACAGAGCTGAACATTCCTTTGGATGGAGCAGGTTTGAGACACACTTTTTGTAGAATCTACAAGTGGATATTTGGACCTCTCTGAGGATTTCGTTGGAAACGGGATAACTGCACCTAACTAAACGGAAGCATTCTCAGAAACTGCTTTGTGATGATTGCATTCACCTCACAGAGTTGAACATTCCTATTGATAGAGCAGTTTGGAAACACTCTTGTTGTGGAATGTGCAAGTGGAGATTTGGAGCGCTTTGAGGCCTGTGGTAGTAAAGGGAATAGCTTCATAGAAAAACTAGACAGATGCATTCTCAGGAACTTTTTGGTGATGTTTGTATTCAACTCCCAGAGTTGAACTTTCCTTTGGAAAGAGCAGCTATGAAACACTCTTTTTCTAGAATCTGCAAGTGGACGTTTGGAGGGCTTTGTGGTTTGTGGTGGAAAAGGAAATATCTTCACCTAAATACTAGATAGAAGCATCCTCAGAAGCTTCTCTGTGATGACTGCATTCAACTCACGGAGTTGAACACTCCTTTTGAGAGCGCAGTTTTGAAACTCTCTTTCTGTGGCATCTGCAAGGGGACATGTAGACCTACTTTGAAGATTTCGTTGGAAACGGAATCATCTTCACATAAAAACTACACAGAAGCAGTCTCAGAATCTTCTTTGTGATGTTTGCATTCAAATCCCAGAGTTGAACTTTCCTTTCAAAGTTCACGTTTGAAACACTCTTTTTGCAGGATCTACAAGTGGATATTTGGACCACTCTGTGTCCTTCGTTCGAAACGGGTATATCTTCACACGACATCTAGACAGAAGCTTTCTCAGAAAATTCTTTGGGATGATTGAGTGGAACTCACAGAGCTGAACATTCCTTGCGATGTAGCAGTTTAGAAACACACTTTCTGCAGAATCTGCAAGTGCATATTTGGACCTCTCTGAGGAATTCGTTGGAAACGGGATAATTTCAGCTGACTAAACAGAAGCATTCTCAGAACCTTCTTCGTGATGTCTGCATTCAACTCACAGTGTGGAACCTTTCTTTGATAGTTCAGGTTTGAAACACTCTTTTTGTAGAAACTGCAAGGGGATAATTGCACTTCTTTGAGGCCTACCGTAGTAAAGGAAATAACTTCCTATAGAAAGAAGACAGAAGCATTCTCAGAACCCTCTTCGTGATGTTTGCATTCAACTCACAGTGCTGAACCTTTCTTTGATAGTTCAGCTTTGAAACACTCTTCTTGTAGAAACTGCAAGTGGATATTTGGTCCTCTCTGAGGATTTCGTTGGAAACGGGATAAACCGCACAGAACTAAACAGAAGCATTCTCTGAACCTTCTTCGTGATGTTTGCATTCAACTCACAGTGTTGAACCTTTCTTTGATAGTTCAGGTTGGAAACGGTCTTTCTGTAGAAACTGCAAGTAGATATTTGGACCTCTCTGAGGATTTCGTTGGAAACGGGATAAACCGCACAGAACCAAAACAGAAGCATTCACAGAAAACTCTTGGTGACGACTGAGTTTAACTCACAGAGCTGAACATTCCTTTGGATGGAGCAGTTTCGAAACACACTATTTGTAGAATGTGCAAGTGGATATTTGGGCCTCTCTGAGGATTTCGCTGGAAACGGGATAAACCGCACAGAACTAAACAGAAGCATTCTCAGAAACTACTTTGTGATGATTGCATTCAAGTCACAGAGTTGAACATTCCCTTTGACAGAGCAGTTTGGAAACTCTCTTTGTGTAGAATCTGCAAGTGGAGATATGGACCGCTTTGAGGCCTATGGTAGTAAAGGAAATAGCTTCATATAAAAGCTAGACAGTAGCATTCTCAGAAACTTCTTTGTGATGCTTGCATTCAACTCACAGAGTTGAACTTTCCTTTCGAGAGAGAAGCTTTGAAACACTCTTTTTCCAGAATCTGCAAGTGGACATTTGGAGGGCTTTGAGGCCTGTGGTGGAAAAGGAATTATCTTCCCGTAAAAGCTAGATAGAAGCATTGTCAGAGACTTCTTTGTGATGATTGCATTCAAGTCACAGAGTTGAAGGTTCCTTTTCAAAGAGCAGTTTCCAATCACTCTTTCTGTGGAATCTGCAAGTGGATATTTGGACCTCCTTTGAAGATTTCGTTGGAAACGGGAGAATCTTCACAGAAAAGCTAAACAGAAGCATTCTCAGAAACTTCTCTGTGATGTTTGTGTTCAACTCCCAGAGTTTCACGTTGCTTTTCATAGAGTAGTTCTGAAACATGCTTTTCGTAGTGTCTGCAAGTGGACATTTGGAGCGCTTTCAGGCCTGTGGTGGAAAACGAATTATGGTCACATAAAAACTGGAGAGAAGCCTTCTCAGAAACTTCTCTGTGATGATTGCATTCAACTCACAGAGTTGAACCCTCCTATGGATAGAGCAGTGTTGAAACTCTCTTTTTGTGGAATCTGCAAGTGGATATGTGGACCTCTCCGAAGATGTCTTTGGAAACGGGAATATCTTCACATAAAAACTAAACAGAAGCATTCTCAGAAACTTCTTGGTGATGTTTGCATTCAAATCCCAGAGTTGAACCTTCCTTTGATAGTTCAGGTTTGAAACACTCTTTCTGTAGGATCTGCAAGTGGCTATTTGGACCACTCTGTGGCCTTCGTTCGAAACGGGTATATCTTCGCATAAAATCTAGACAGAAGCATTCTCAGAAAATACTTTGTGATGATTGAGTTTAAATCACAGAGCTGACCATTCCTTTGGATGGAGCAGGTTTGAGACACACTTTTTGTAGAATCTACAAGTGGATATTTGGACCTCTCTGAGGATTTCGTTGGAAACGGGATAACTGCACCTAACTAAACGGAAGCATTCTCAGAAACTGCTTTGTGATGATTGCATTCACCTCACAGAGTTGAACATTCCTATTGATAGAGCAGTTTGGAAACACTCTTGTTGTGGAATGTGCAAGTGGAGATTTGGAGCGCTTTGAGGCCTATGGTAGTAAAGGGAATAGCTTCATAGAAAAACTAGACAGATGCATTTTCAGGAACCTTTTGGTGATGTTTGTATTCAACTCCCAGAGTTGAACTTTCCTTTGGAAAGAGCAGCTATGAAACACTCTTTTTCTAGAATCTGCAAGTGGACGTTTGGAGGGCTTTGTGGTTTGTGGTGGAAAAGGAAATATCTTCACCTAAATACTAGATAGAAGCATTCTCAGAAGCTTCTCTGTGATGACTGCATTCAACTCACGGAGTTGAACACTCCTTTTGAGAGCGCAGTTTTGAAACTCTCTTTCTGTGGCATCTGCAAGGGGACATGTAGACCTCTTTGAAGATTTCGTTGGAAACGGAATCATCTTCACATCAAAACTATACAGAAGCAGTCTCAGAATCTTCTTTGTGATGTTTGCATTCAAATTCCTGAGTTGAACTTTCCTTTCCAAGTTCACGTTTGAAACACTCTTTTTGCAGGATCTACAAGTGGATATTTGGACCACTCTGTGTCCTTCGTTCGAAACGGGTATATCTTCACATGACATCTAGACAGAAGCTTTCTCAGAAAATTCTTTGGGATGATTGAGTTGAGCAAACAGAGCTGAACACTCCTTGTGATGTAGCAGTTTAGAAACACACTTTCTGCAGAATCTGCAAGTGCATATGTGGACCTCTCTGAGGAATTCGTTGGAAACGGGATAATTTCAGCTGACTAAACAGAAAGCATTCTCAGAACCTTCTTCGTGATGTCTGCGTTCAACTCACAGTGTGGAACCTTTCTTTGATAGTTCAGGTTTGAAACACTCTTTTTGTAGAAACTGCAAGGGGATCATTGCACTTCTTTGAGGCCTACCGTAGTAAAGGAGATAACTTGCTATAAAAAGAAGACAGAGAATTCTCAGAGCCCTCTTCGTGATGTTTGCATTCAACTCACAGTGCTGAACCTTTCTTTGATAGTGCAGCTTTGAAACACTCTTTTTGTAGAAACTGCAAGTGGATGTTTGGTCCTCTCTGAGGATTTCGTTGGAAACGGGATAAACCGCACAGAACTAAAACAGAAGCATTCTCAGAACCTTCTTCGTGATGTTTGCATTCAACTCACAGTGTTGAACCTTTCTTTGATAGTTCAGGTTTGAAACGGTCTTTCTGTAGAAACTGCAAGTAGATATTTGGACCTCTCTGAGGATTTCGTTGGAAACGGGATAACCCGCACAGAACTAAAACAGAAGCATTCACAGAAAACTCTTGGTGACGACTGAGTTTAACTCACAGAGCTGAACATTCCTTTGGATGGAGCAGTTTCGAAACACACTATTTGTAGAATGTGCAAGTGGATATTTGGGCCTCTCTGAGGATTTCGTTGGAAACGGGATAAACCGCACAGAACTAAACAGAAGCATTCTCAGAAACTACTTTGTGACGATTGCATTCAAGTCACAGAGTTGAACATTCCCTTTGACAGAGCAGTTTGGAAACTCTCTTTGTGTAGAATCTGCAAGTGGAGATATGGACCGCTTTGAGGCCTATGGTAGTAAAGGAAATAGCTTCATATAAAAGCTAGACAGTAGCATTCTCAGAAACTTCTTTGTGATGCTTGCATTCAACTCACAGAGTTGAACTTTCCTTTCGAGAGAGAAGCTTTGAAACACTCTTTTTCCAGAATCTGCAAGTGGACATTTGGAGGGCTTTGAGGCCTGTGGTGGAAAAGGAATTAACTTCCCGTAAAAGCTAGATAGAAGCATTGTCAGAAACTTCTTTGTGATGATTGCATTCAACTCACAGAGATGAAGGTTCCTTTACAAACAGCAGTTTCCAAACACTCTTTCTGTGGAATCTGCAAGTGGATATTTGGACCTCTTTGAAGATTTCGTTGGAAACGGGAGAATCTTCACAGAAAAGCTAAACAGAAGCATTCTCAGAAACTTCTCTGTGATGTTTGTGTTCAACTCCCAGAGTTTCACGTTGCTTTTCATAGAGTAGTTCTGAAACATGCTTTTCGTAGTGTCTGCAAGTGGACATTTGGAGCGCTTTCAGGCCTGTGGTGGAAAACGAATTATGGTCACATAAAAACTGGAGAGAAGCCTTCTCAGAAACTTCTCTGTGATGATTGCATTCAACTCACAGAGTTGAACCCTCCTATGGATAGAGCAGTGTTGAAACTCTCTTTTTGTGGAATCTGCAAGTGGATATGTGGACCTCTCCGAAGATGTCTTTGGAAACGGGAATATCTTCACATAAAAACTAAACAGAAGCATTCTCAGAAACTTCTTGGTGATGTTTGCATTCAAATCCCAGAGTTGAACCTTCCTTTGATAGTTCAGGTTTGAAACACTCTTTTTGTAGGATCTGCAAGTGGATATTTGGACCACTCTGTGGCCTTGGTTCGAAACGGGTACATCTTCGCATAAAATCTAGACAGAAGCATTCTCAGAAAATACTTTGTGATGATTGAGTTTAACTCACAGAGCTGAACATTCCTTTGGATGGAGCAGGCTTGAGACACACTTTTTGTAGAATCCACAAGTGGATATTTGGACCTCTCTGAGGATTTCGTTGGAAACGGGATAACTGCACCTAACTAAACGGAAGCATTCTCAGAAACTGCTTTGTGATGATTGCATTCACCTCACAGAGTTGAACATTCCTATTGATAGAGCAGTTTGGAAACACTCTTGTTGTGGAATGTGCAAGTGGAGATTTGGAGCGCTTTGAGGCCTATGGTAGTAAAGGGAATAGCTTCATAGAAAAACTAGACAGATGCATTCTCAGGAACTTTTTGGTGATGTTTGTATTCAACTCCCAGAGTTGAACTTTCCTTTGGAAAGAGCAGCTATGAAACACTCTTTTTCTAGAATCTGCAAGTGGACGTTTGGAGGGCTTTGTGGTTTGTGGTGGAAAAGGAAATATCTTCACCTAAATACTAGACAGAAGCATCCTCAGAAGCTTCTCTGTGATGACTGCATTCAACTCACGGAGTTGAACACTCCTTTTGAGAGCGCAGTTTTGAAACTCTCTTTCTGTGGCATCTGCAAGGGGACATGTAGACCTCTTTGAAGATTTCGTTGGAAACGGAATCATCTTCACATAAAAACTATACAGAAGCAGTCTCAGAATCTTCTTTGTGATGTTTGCATTCAAATCCCAGAGTTGAACTTTCCTTTCAAAGTTCACGTTTGAAACACTCTTTTTGCAGGATCTACAAGTGGATATTTGGACCACTCTGTGTCCTTCGTTCGAAACGGGTATATCTTCACACGACATCTAGACAGAAGCTTTCTCAGAAAATTCTTTGGGATGATTGAGTGGAACTCACAGAGCTGAACATTCCTTGCGATGTAGCAGTTTAGAAACACACTTTCTGCAGAATCTGCAAGTGCATATTTGGACCTCTCTGAGGAATTCGTTGGAAACGGGATAATTTCAGCTGACTAAACAGAAGCATTCTCAGAACCTTCTTCGTGATGTCTGCATTCAACTCACAGTGTGGAACCTTTCTTTGATAGTTCAGGTTTGAAACACTCTTTTTGTAGAAACTGCAAGGGGATAATTGCACTTCTTTGAGGCCTACCGTAGTAAAGGAAATAACTTCCTATAGAAAGAAGACAGAAGCATTCTCAGAACCCTCTTCGTGATGTTTGCATTCAACTCACAGTGCTGAACCTTTGTTTGATAGTTCAGCTTTGAAACACTCTTTTTGTAGAAACTGCAAGTGAATATTTGGTCCTCTCTGAGGATTTCGTTGGAAACGGGATAAAACGCACAGAACTAAACAGAAGCATTCTCAGAACCTTCTTCGTGATGTTTGCATTCAACTCACAGTGTTGAACCTTTCTTTGATAGTTCAGGTTTGAAACGGTCTTTCTGTAGAAACTGCAAGTAGATATTTGGACCTCTCTGAGGATTTCGTTGGAAACGGGATAAACCGCACAGAACTAAAACAGAAGCATTCACAGAAAACTCTTGGTGTCGACTGAGTTTAACTCACAGAGCTGAACATTCCTTTGGATGGAGCAGTTTCGAAACACACTATTTGTAGAATGTGCAAGTGGATATGTGGGCCTCTCTGAGGATTTCGTTGGAAACGGGATAAACCGCACAGAACTAAACAGAAGCATTCTCAGAAACTACTTTGTGATGATTGCATTCAAGTCACAGAGTTGAACATTCCCTTTGACAGAGCAGTTTGGAAACTCTCTTTGCGTAGAATCTGCAAGTGGAGATATGGACCGCTTTGAGGCCTATGGTAGTAAAGGAAATAGCTTCATATAAAAGCTAGACAGCAGCATTCTCAGAAACTTCTTTGTGATGCTTGCATTCAACTCACAGAGTTGAACTTTCCTTTCGAGAGAGAAGCTTTGAAACACTCTTTTTCCAGAATCTGCAAGTGGACATTTGGAGGGCTTTGAGGCCTGTGGTGGAAAAGGAATTATCTTCCCGTAAAAGCTAGATAGAAGCATTGTCAGAAACTTCTTTGTGATGATTGCATTCAACTCACAGAGTTGAAGGTTCCTTTTCAAACAGCAGTTTCCAATCACTCTTTCTGTGGAATCTGCAAGTGGATATTTGGGCCTCTCTGAGGATTTCGTTGGAAACGGGATAAAACGCACAGAACTAAAACAGAAGCATTCTCAGAAACTTCTCTGTGATGTTTGTGTTCAACTCCCAGAGTTTCACGTTGCTTTTCATAGAGTAGTTCTGAAACATGCTTTTCGTAGTGTCTGCAAGTGGACATTTGGAGCGCTTTCAGGCCTGTGGTGGAAAACGAATTATGGTCACATAAAAACTGGAGAGAAGCCTTCTCAGAAACTTCTCTGTGATGATTGCATTCAACTCACAGAGTTGAACCCTCCTATGGATAGAGCAGTGTTGAAACTCTCTTTTTGTGGAATCTGCAAGTGGATATGTGGACCTCTCCGAAGATGTCTTTGGAAACGGGAATATCTTCACATAAAAACTAAACAGAAGCATTCTCAGAAACTTCTTGGTGATGTTTGCATTCAAATCCCAGAGTTGAACCTTCCTTTGATAGTTCAGGTTTGAAACACTCTTTCTGTAGGATCTGCAAGTGGCTATTTGGACCACTCTGTGGCCTTCGTTCGAAACGGGTATATCTTCGCATAAAATCTAGACAGAAGCATTCTCAGAAAATACTTTGTGATGATTGAGTTTAAATCACAGAGCTGAACATTCCTTTGGATGGAGCAGGTTTGAGACACACTTTTTGTAGAATCTACAAGTGGATATTTGGACCTCCTCTGAGGATTTCGTTGGAAACGGGATAACTGCACCTAACTAAACGGAAGCATTCTCAGAAACTGCTTTGTGATGATTGCATTCACCTCACAGAGTTGAACATTCCTATTGATAGAGCAGTTTGGAAACACTCTTGTTGTGGAATGTGCAAGTGGAGATTTGGAGCGCTTTGAGGCCTATGGTAGTAAAGGGAATAGCTTCATAGAAAAACTAGACAGATGCATTCTCAGGAACTTTTTGGTGATGTTTGTATTCAACTCCCAGAGTTGAACTTTCCTTTGGAAAGAGCAGCTATGAAACACTGTTTTTCTAGAATCTGCAAGTGGACGTTTGGAGGGCTTTGTGGTTTGTGGTGGAAAAGGAAATATCTTCACCTAAATACTAGATAGAAGCATTCTCAGAAGCTTCTCTGTGATGACTGCATTCAACTCACGGAGTTGAACACTCCTTTTGAGAGCGTAGTTTTGAAACTCTCTTTCTGTGGCATCTGCAAGGGGACATGTAGACCTCTTTGAAGATTTCGTTGGAAACGGAATCATCTTCACATAAAAACTATACAGAAGCAGTCTCAGAATCTTCTTTGTGATGTTTGCATTCAAATCCCAGAGTTGAACTTTCCTTTCAAAGTTCACGTTTGAAACACTCTTTTTGCAGGATCTACAAGTGGATATTTGGACCACTCTGTGTCCTCCGTTCGAAACGGGTATATCTTCACATGACATCTAGACAGAAGCTTTCTCAGAAAATTCTTTGGGATGATTGAGTGGAACTCACAGAGCTGAACATTCCTTGCGATGTAGCAGTTTAGAAACACACTTTCTGCAGAATCTGCAAGTGCATATTTGGACCTCTCTGAGGAATTCGTTGGAAACGGGATAATTTCAGCTGACTAAACAGAAGCATTCTCAGAACCTTCTTCGTGATGTCTGCATTCAACTCACAGTGTGGAACCTTTCTTTGATAGTTCAGGTTTGAAACACTCTTTTTGTAGAAACTGCAAGGTGATAATTGCACTTCTTTGAGGCCTACCGTAGTAAAGGAAATAACTTCCTATAGAAAGAAGACAGAAGCATTCTCAGAACCCTCTTCGTGATGTTTGCATTCAACTCACAGTGCTGAACCTTTCTTTGATAGTTCAGCTTTGAAACACTCTTCTTGTAGAAACTGCAAGTGGATATTTGGTCCTCTCTGAGGATTTCGTTGGAAACGGGATAAACTGCACAGAACTAAACAGAAGCATTCTCAGAACCTTCTTCGTGATGTTTGCATTCAACTCACAGTGTTGAACCTTTCTTTGATAGTTCAGGTTTGAAACGGTCTTTCTGTAGAAACTGCAAGTAGATATTTGGACCTCTCTGAGGATTTCGTTGGAAACGGGATAAACCGCACAGAACTAAAACAGAAGCATTCACAGAAAACTCTTGGTGACGTCTGAGTTTGACTCACAGAGCTGAACATTCCTTTGGATGGAGCAGTTTCGAAACACACTCTTTGTAGAATCTGCAAGTGGATATTTAGGCCTCTCTGAGGATTTCGTTGGAAATGGGATAAACCGCACAGAACTAAAACAGAAGCATTCTCAGAAACTACTTTGTGATGATTGCATTCAAGTCACAGAGTTGAACATTCCCTTTGACAGAGCAGTTTGGAAACTCTCTTTGTGTAGAATCTGCAAGTGGAGATATGGACCGCTTTGAGGCCTATGGTAGTAAAGGAAATAGCTTCATATAAAAGCTAGACAGTAGCATTCTCAGAAACTTCTTTGTGATGCTTGCATTCAACTCACAGAGTTGAACTTTCCTTTCGAGAGAGAAGCTTTGAAACACTCTTTTTCCAGAATCTGCAAGTGGACATTTGGAGGGCTTTGAGGCCTGTGGTGGAAAAGGAATTATCTTCCCGTAAAAGCTAGATAGAAGCATTGTCAGAAACTTCTTTGTGATGATTGCATTCAACTCACAGAGTTGAAGGTTCCTTTTCAAACAGCAGTTTCCAATCACTCTTTCTGTGGAATCTGCAAGTGGATATTTGGGCCTCTCTGAGGATTTCGTTGGAAACGGGATAAAACGCACAGAACTAAAACAGAAGCATTCTCAGAAACTTCTCTGTGATGTTTGTGTTCAACTCCCAGAGTTTCACGTTGCTTTTCATAGAGTAGTTCTGAAACATGCTTTTCGTAGTGTCTGCAAGTGGACATTTGGAGCGCTTTCAGGCCTGTGGTGGAAAACGAATTATGGTCACATAAAAACTGGAGAGAAGCCTTCTCAGAAACTTCTCTGTGATGATTGCATTCAACTCACAGAGTTGAACCCTCCTATGGATAGAGCAGTGTTGAAACTCTCTTTTTGTGGAATCTGCAAGTGGATATGTGGACCTCTCCGAAGATGTCTTTGGAAACGGGAATATCTTCACATAAAAACTAAACAGAAGCATTCTCAGAAACTTCTTGGTGATGTTTGCATTCAAATCCCAGAGTTGAACTTTCCTGTGATAGTTCAGGTTTGAAACACTCTTTTTGTAGGATCTGCAAGTGGATATTTGGACCACTCTGTGGCCTTCGTTCGAAACGGGTACATCTTCACATAAAATCTAGACAGAAGCATTCTCAGAAAATACTTTGTGATGATTGAGTTTAACTCACAGAGCTGAACATTCCTTTGGATGGAGCAGGTTTGAGACACACTTTTTGTAGAATCTACAAGTGGATATTTGGACCTCTCTGAGGATGTCGTTGGAAACGCGATAACTGCACCTAACTAAACGGAAGCATTCTCAGAAACTGCTTTGTGATGATTGCATTCACCTCACAGAGTTGAACATTCCTATTGATAGAGCAGTTTGGAAACACTCTTGTTGTGGAATGTGCAAGTGGAGATTTGGAGCGCTTTGAGGTCTATGGTAGTAAAGGGAATAGCTTCATAGAAAAACTAGACAGATGCATTCTCAGGAACTTTTTGGTGATGTTTGTATTCAACTCCCAGAGTTGAACTTTCCTTTGGAAAGAGCAGCTATGAAACACTCTTTTTCTAGAATCTGCAAGTGGACGTTTGGAGGGCTTTGTGGTTTGTGGTGGAAAAGGAAATATCTTCACCTAAATACTAGATAGAAGCATTCTCAGAAGCTTCTCTGTGATGACTGCATTCAACTCACGGAGTTGAACACTCCTTTTGAGAGCGCAGTTTTGAAACTCTCTTTCTGTGGCATCTGCAAGGGGACATGTAGACCTCTTTGAAGATTTCGTTGGAAACGGAATCATCTTCACATAAAAACTATACAGAAAGCAGTCTCAGAATCTTCTTTGTGATGTTTGCATTCAAATCCCAGAGTTGAACTTTCCTTTCAAAGTTCACGTTTGAAACACTCTTTTTGCAGGATCTACAAGTGGATATTTGGACCACTCTGTGTCCTTCGTTCGAAACGGGTATATCTTCACATGACATCTAGACAGAAGCTTTCTCAGAAAATTCTTTGGGATGATTGAGTGGAACTCACAGATCTGAACATTCCTTGCGATGTAGCAGTTTAGAAACACACTTTCTGCAGAATCTGCAAGTGCATATGTGGACCTCTCTGAGGAATTCGTTGGAAACGGGATAATTTCAGCTGACTAAACAGAAGCATTCTCAGAACCTTCTTCGTGATGTCTGCATTCAACTCACAGTGTGGAACCTTTCTTTGATAGTTCAGGTTTGAAACACTCTTTTTGTAGAAACTGCAAGGGGATAATTACTCTTCTTTGAGGCCTACCGTAGTAAAGGAAATAACTTCCTATAGAAAGAAGACAGAAGAATTCTCAGAGCCCTCTTCGTGATGTTTGCATTCAACTCACAGTGCTGAACCTTTCTTTGATAGTGCAGCTTTGAAACACTCTTTTTGTAGAAACTGCAAGTGGATGTTTGGTCCTCTCTGAGGATTTCGTTGGAAACGGGATAAACCGCACAGAACTAAAACAGAAGCATTCTCAGAACCTTCTTCGTGATGTTTGCATTCAACTCACAGTGTTGAACCTTTCTTTGATAGTTCAGGTTGGAAACGGTCTTTCTGTAGAAACTGCAAGTAGATATTTGGACCTCTCTGAGGATTTCGTTGGAAACGGGATAAACCGCACAGAACTAAAACAGAAGCATTCACAGAAAACTCTTGGTGACGACTGAGTTTAACTCACAGAGCTGAACATTCCTTTGGATGGAGCAGTTTCGAAACACACTATTTGTAGAATCTGCAAGTGGATATTTGGGCCTCTCTGAGGATTTCGTTGGAAACGGGATAAACCGCACAGAACTAAAACAGAAGCATTCTCAGAAACTACTTTGTGATGATTGCATTCAAGTCACAGAGTTGAACATTCCCTTTGACAGAACAGTTTGGAAACTCTCTTTGTGTAGAATCTGCAAGTGGAGATATGGACCGCTTTGAGGCCTATGGTAGTAAAGGAAATAGCTTCATATAAAAGCTAGACAGTAGCATTCTCAGAAACTTCTTTGTGATGCTTGCATTCAACTCACAGAGTTGAACTTTCCTTTCGAGAGAGAAGCTTTGAAACACTCTTTTTCCAGAATCTGCAAGTGGACATTTGGAGGGCTTTGAGGCCTGTGGTGGAAAAGGAATTATCTTCCCGTAAAAGCTAGATAGAAGCATTGTCAGAAACTTCTTTGTGATGATTGCATTCAACTCACGGAGATGAAGGTTCCTTTACAAACAGCAGTTTCCAAACACTCTTTCTGTGGAATCTGCAAGTGGATATTTGGACCTCTTTGAAGATTTCGTTGGAAACGGGAGAATCTTCACAGAAAAGCTAAACAGAAGCATTCTCAGAAACTTCTCTGTGATGTTTGTGTTCAACTCCCAGAGTTTCACGTTGCTTTTCATAGAGTAGTTCTGAAACATGCTTTTCGTAGTGTCTGCAAGTGGACATTTGGAGCGCTTTCAGGCCTGTGGTGGAAAACGAATTATGGTCACATAAAAACTGGAGAGAAGCCTTCTCAGAAACTTCTCTGTGATGATTGCATTCAACTCACAGAGTTGAACCCTCCTATGGATAGAGCAGTGTTGAAACTCTCTTTTTGTGGAATCTGCAAGTGGATATGTGGACCTCTCCGAAGATGTCTTTGGAAACGGGAATATCTTCACATAAAAACTAAACAGAAGCATTCTCAGAAACTTCTTGGTGATGTTTGCATTCAAATCCCAGAGTTGAACCTTCCTTTGATAGTTCAGGTTTGAAACACTCTTTCTGTAGGATCTGCAAGTGGCTATTTGGACCACTCTGTGGCCTTCGTTCGAAACGGGTATATCTTCGCATAAAATCTAGACAGAAGCATTCTCAGAAAATACTTTGTGATGATTGAGTTGAACTCACAGAGCTGAACATTCCTTTGGATGGAGCAGGTTTGAGACACACTTTTTGTAGAATCTACAAGTGGATATTTGGACCTCTCTGAGGATTTCGTTGGAAACGGGATAACTGCACCTAACTAAACGGAAGCATTCTCAGAAACTGCTTTGTGATGATTGCATTCACCTCACAGAGTTGAACATTCCTATTGATAGAGCAGTTTGGAAACACTCTTGTTGTGGAATGTGCAAGTGGAGATTTGGAGCGCTTTGAGGCCTATGGTAGTAAAGGGAATAGCTTCATAGAAAAACTAGACAGATGCATTCTCAGGAACTTTTTGGTGATGTTTGTATTCAACTCCCAGAGTTGAACTTTCCTTTGGAAAGAGCAGCTATGAAACACTCTTTTTCTAGAATCTGCAAGTGGACGTTTGGAGGGCTTTGTGGTTTGTGGTGGAAAAGGAAATATCTTCACCTAAATACTAGATAGAAGCATTCTCAGAAGCTTCTCTGTGATGACTGCATTCAACTCACGGAGTTGAACACTCCTTTTGAGAGCGCAGTTTTGAAACTCTCTTTCTGTGGCATCTGCAAGGGGACATGTAGACCTCTTTGAAGATTTCGTTGGAAACGGAATCATCTTCACATAAAAACTATACAGAAGCAGTCTCAGAATCTTCTTTGTGATGTTTGCATTCAAATCCCCGAGTTGAACTTTCCTTTCAAAGTTCACGTTTGAAACACTCTTTTTGCAGGATCTACAAGTGGATATTTGGACCACTCTGTGTCCTTCGTTCGAAACGGGTATATCTTCACATGACATCTAGACAGAAGCTTTCTCAGAAAATTCTTTGGGATGATTGAGTGGAACTCACAGAGCTGAACATTCCTTGCGATGTAGCAGTTTAGAAACACACTTTCTGCAGAATCTGCAAGTGCATATTTGGACCTCTCTGAGGAATTCGTTGGAAACGGGATAATTTCAGCTGACTAAACAGAAGCATTCTCAGAACCTTCTTCGTGATGTCTGCATTCAACTCACAGTGTGGAACCTTTCTTTGATAGTTCAGGTTTGAAACACTCTTTTTGTAGAAACTGCAAGGGGATAATTGCACTTCTTTGAGGCCTACCGTAGTAAAGGAAATAACTTCCTATAGAAAGAAGACAGAAGCATTCTCAGAACCCTCTTCGTGATGTTTGCATTCAACTCACGGTGCTGAACCTTTCTTTGATAGTTCAGCTTTGAAACACTCTTTTTGTAGAAACTGCAAGTGGATATTTGGTCCTCTCTGAGGATTTCGTTGGAAACGGGATAAACCGCACAGAACTAAACAGAAGCATTCTCAGAACCTTCTTCGTGATGTTTGCATTCAACTCACAGTGTTGAACCTTTCTTTGATAGTTCAGGTTTGAAACGGTCTTTCTGTAGAAACTGCAAGTAGATATTTGGACCTCTCTGAGGATTTCGTTGGAAACGGGATAAACCGCACAGAACTAAAACAGAAGCATTCACAGAAAACTCTTGGTGACGACTGAGTTTAACTCACAGAGCTGAACATTCCTTTGGATGGAGCAGTTTCGAAACACACTATTTGTAGAATGCGCAAGTGGATATTTGGGACTCTCTGAGGATTTCGTTGGAAACGGGATAAACCGCACAGAACTAAACAGAACCATTCTGAGAAACTACTTTGTGATGATTGCATTCAAGTCACAGAGCTGAACATTCCCTTTGACAGAGCAGTTTGGAAACTCTCTTTGTGTAGAATCTGCAAGTGGAGATATGGAATGCTTTGAGGACTATGGTAGTAAAGGAAATAGCTTCATATAAAAGCTAGACAGTAGCATTCTCAGAAACTTCTTTGTGATGCTTGCATTCAACTCACAGAGTTGAACTTTCCTTTCGAGAGAGAAGCTTTGAAACACTCTTTTTCCAGAATGTGCAAGTGGACATTTGGGGAGCTTTGAGGCCTGTGGTGGAAAAGGAATTATCTTCCCGTAAAAGCTAGATAGAAGCATTGTCAGAAACTTCTTTGTGATGATTGCATTCAACTCACAGAGTTGAAGGTTCCTTTTCAAACAGCAGTTTCCAATCACTCTTTCTGTGGAATCTGCAAGTGGATATTTGGGCCTCTCTGAGGATTTCGTTGGAAACGGGATAAAACGCACAGAACTAAAACAGAAGCATTCTCAGAAACTTCTCTGTGATGTTTGTGTTCAACTCCCAGAGTTTCACATTGCTTTTCATAGAGTAGTTCTGAAACATGCTTTTCGTAGTGTCTACAAGTGGACATTTGGAGCGCTTTCAGGCCTGTGGTGGAAAACGAATTATGGTCACATAAAAACTGGAGAGAAGCCTTCTCAGAAACTTCTCTGTGATGATTGCATTCAACTCACAGAGTTGAACCCTCCTATGGATAGAGCAGTGTTGAAACTCTCTTTTTGTGGAATCTGCAAGTGGATATGTGGACCTCTCCGAAGATGTCTTTGGAAACGGGAATATCTTCACATAAAAACTAAACAGAAGCATTCTCAGAAACTTCTTGGTGATGTTTGCATTCAAATCCCAGAGTTGAACCTTCCTTTGATAGTTCAGGTTTGAAACACTCTTTCTGTAGGATCTGCAAGTGGCTATTTGGACCACTCTGTGGCCTTCGTTCGAAACGGGTATATCTTCGCATAAAATCTAGACAGAAGCATTCTCAGAAAATACTTTGTGATGATTGAGTTTAAATCACAGAGCTGACCATTCCTTTGGATGGAGCAGGTTTGAGACACACTTTTTGTAGAATCTACAAGTGGATATTTGGACCTCTCTGAGGATTTCGTTGGAAACGGGATAACTGCACCTAACTAAACGGAAGCATTCTCAGAAACTGCTTTGTGATGATTGCATTCACCTCACAGAGTTGAACATTCCTATTGATAGAGCAGTTTGGAAACACTCTTGTTGTGGAATGTGCAAGTGGAGATTTGGAGCGCTTTGAGGCCTATGGTAGTAAAGGGAATAGCTTCATAGAAAAACTAGACAGATGCATTCTCAGGAACTTTTTGGTGATGTTTGTATTCAACTCCCAGAGTTGAACTTTCCTTTGGAAAGAGCAGCTATGAAACACTCTTTTTCTAGAATCTGCAAGTGGACGTTTGGAGGGCTTTGTGGTTTGTGGTGGAAAAGGAAATATCTTCACCTAAATACTAGATAGAAGCATTCTCAGAAGCTTCTCTGTGATGACTGCATTCAACTCACGGAGTTGAACACTCCTTTTGAGAGCGCAGTTTTGAAACTCTCTTTCTGTGGCATCTGCAAGGGGACATGTAGACCTCTTTGAAGATTTCGTTGGAAACGGAATCATCTTCACATAAAAACTATACAGAAGCAGTCTCAGAATCTTCTTTGTGATGTTTGCATTCAAATCCCAGAGTTGAACTTTCCTTTCAAAGTTCACGTTTGAAACACTCTTTTTGCAGGATCTACAAGTGGATATTTGGACCACTCTGTGTCCTTCGTTCGAAACGGGTATATCTTCACAGGACATCTAGACAGAAGCTTTCTCAGAAAATTCTTTGGGATGATTGAGTGGAACTCACAGAGCTGTACATTCCTTGCGATGTAGCAGTTTAGAAACACACTTTCTGCAGAATCTGCAAGTGCATATTTGGACCTCTCTGAGGAATTCGTTGGAAACGGGATAATTTCAGCTGACTAAACAGAAGCATTCTCAGAACCTTCTTCGTGATGTCTGCATTCAACTCACAGTGTGGAACCTTTCTTTGATAGTTCAGGTTTGAAACACTCTTTTTGTAGAAACTGCAAGGGGATAATTGCACTTCTTTGAGGCCTACCGTAGTAAAGGAAATAACTTCCTATAGAAAGAAGACAGAAGCATTCTCAGAACCCTCTTCGTGATGTTTGCATTCAACTCACAGTGCTGAACCTTTCTTTGATAGTTCAGCTTTGAAACACTCTTCTTGTAGAAACTGCAAGTGGATATTTGGTCCTCTCTGAGGATTTCGTTGGAAACGGGATAAACCGCACAGAACTAAACAGAAGCATTCTCAGAACCTTCTTCGTGATGTTTGCATTCAACTCACAGTGTTGAACCTTTCTTTGATAGTTCAGGTTTGAAACGGTCTTTCTGTAGAAACTGCAAGTAGATATTTGGACCTCTCTGAGGATTTCGTTGGAAACGGGATAACCCGCACAGAACTAAAACAGAAGCATTCACAGAAAACTCTTGGTGACGACTGAGTTTAACTCACAGAACTGAACATTCCTTTGGATGGAGCAGTTTCGAAACACAGTATTTGTAGAATGTGCAAGTGGATATGTGGGCCTCTGTGAGGATTTCGTTGGAAACGGGATAAACCGCACAGAACTAAACAGAAGCATTCTCAGAAACTACTTTGTGATGATTGCATTCAAGTCACAGAGCTGAACATTCCCTTTGACAGAGCAGTTTGGAAACTCTCTTTGTGTAGAATCTGCAAGTGGAGACATGGACCGCTTTGAGGCCTATGGTAGTAAAGGAAATAGCTTCATATAAAACCTAGACAGTAGCATCCTCAGAAACTTCTTTGTGATGCTTGCATTCAACTCACAGAGTTGAACTTTCCTTTCGAGAGAGAAGCTTTGAAACACTCTTTTTCCAGAATCTGCAAGTGGACATTTGGAGGGCTTTGAGGCCTGTGGTGGAAAAGGAATTATCTTCCCGTAAAAGCTAGATAGAAGCATTGTCAGAAACTTCTTTGTGATGATTGCATTCAACTCACAGAGTTGAAGGTTCCTTTTCAAACAGCAGTTTCCAATCACTCTTTCTGTGGAATCTGCAAGTGGATATTTCGACCTCTTTGAAGATTTCGTTGGAAACGGGAGAATCTTCACAGAAAAGCTAAACAGAAGCATTCTCAGAAACTTCTCTGTGATGTTTGTATTCAACTCCCAGAGTTTCACGTTGCTTTTCATAGAGTAGTTCTGAAACATGCTTTTCGTAGTGTCTGCAAGTGGACATTTGGAGCGCTTTCAGGCCTGTGGTGGAAAACGAATTATGGTCACATAAAAACTGGAGAGAAGCCTTCTCAGAAACGTCTCTGTGATGATTGCATTCAACTCACAGAGTTGAACCCTCCTATGGATAGAGCAGTGTTGAAACTCTCTTTTTGTGGAATCTGCAAGTGGATATGTGGACCTCTCCGAAGAAGTCTTTGGAAACGGGAATATCTTCACATAAAAACTAAACGGAAGCATTCTCAGAAACTTCTTGGTGATGTTTGCATTCAAATCCCAGAGGTGAAACTTCCTTTGAGAGTTCAGGTTTGAAACACTCTTTTTGTAGGATCTGCAAGTGGATATTTGGACCACTCTGTGGCCTTCGTTCGAAACGGGTACATCTTCGAATAAAATCTAGACAGAAGCATTCTCAGAAAATACTTTGTGATGATTGAGTTTAAATCACAGAGCTGACCATTCCTTTGGATGGAGCAGGTTTGAGACACACTTTTTGTAGAATCTACAAGTGGATATTTGGACCTCTCTGAGGATTTCGTTGGAAACGGGATAACTGCACCTAACTAAACGGAAGCATTCTCAGAAACTGCTTTGTGATGATTGCATTTCACCTCACAGAGTTGAACATTCCTATTGATAGAGCAGTTTGGAAACACTCTTGTTGTGGAATGTGCAAGTGGAGATTTGGAGCGCTTTGAGGCCTATGGTAGTAAAGGGAATAGCTTCATAGAAAAACTAGACAGATGCATTCTCAGGAACTTTTTGGTGATGTTTGTATTCAACTCCCAGAGTTGAACTTTCCTTTGGAAAGAGCAGCTATGAAACACTCTTTTTCTAGCATCTGCAAGTGGACGTTTGGAGGGCTTTGTGGTTTGTAGTGGAAAAGGAAATATCTTCACCTAAATACTAGATAGAAGCATTCTCAGAAGCTTCTCTGTGATGACTGCATTCAACTCACGGAGTTGAACACTCCTTTTGAGAGCGCAGTTTTGGAACTCCCTTTCTGTGGCATCTGCAAGGGGACATGTAGACCTCTTTGAAGATTTCGTTGGAAACGGAATCATCTTCACATCAAAACTATACAGAAGCAGTCTCAGAATCTTCTTTGTGATGTTTGCATTCAAATCCCAGAGTTGAACTTTCCTTTCAAAGTTCACGTTTGAAACACTCTTTTTGCAGGATCTACAAGTGGATATTTGGACCACTCTGTGTCCTTCGTTCGAAACGGGTATATCTTCACATGACATCTAGACAGAAGCTTTCTCAGAAAATTGTTTGGGATGATTGACTTGAACTCACAGCAGCTGAGCATTCCTTGCGATGTAGCAGTTTAGAAACACACTTTCTGCAGAATCTGCAAGTGCATATTTGGACCTCTCTGAGGAATTCGTTGGAAACGGGATAATTTCAGCTGACTAAACAGAAGCATTCTCAGAACCTTCTTCGTGATGTCTGCATTCAACTCACAGTGTGGAACCTTTCTTTGATAGTTCAGGTTTGAAACACTCTTTTTGTAGAAACTGCAAGGGGATAATTGCACTTCTTTGAGGCCTACCGTAGTAAAGGAAATAACTTCCTATAGAAAGAAGACAGAAGCATTCTCAGAACCTTCTTCGTGATGTTTGCATTCAACTCACAGTGCTGAACCTTTCTTTGATAGTTCAGCTTTGAAACACTCTTTTTGTAGAAACTGCAAGTGGATATTTGGTCCTCTCTGAGGATTTCGTTGGAAACGGGATAAACCGCACAGAACTAAACAGAAGCATTCACAGAAAACTCTTGGTGACGACTGAGTTTAACTCACAGAGCTGAACATTCCTTTGGATGGAGCAGTTTCGAAACACACTCTTTGTAGAATGTGCAAGTGGATATTTGGGCCTCTCTGAGGATTTCGTTGGAAACGGGATAAACCGCACAGAACTAAAACAGAAGCATTCTGAGAAACTACTTTGTGATGATTTTATTCAAGTCACAGAGCTGAACATTCCCTTTGACAGAGCAGTTTGGAAACTCTCTTTGTGTAGAATCTGCAAGTGGAGATATGGAATGCTTTGAGGACTATGGTAGTAAAGGAAATAGCTTCATATAAAAGCTAGACAGTAGCATTCTCAGAAACTTCTTTGTGATGCTTGCATTCAACTCACAGAGTTGAACTTTCCTTTCGAGAGAGAAGCTTTGAAACACTCTTTTTCCAGAATCTGCAAGTGGACATTTGGAGGGCTTTGAGGCCTGTGGTGGAAAAGGAATTATCTTCCCGTAAAAGCTAGATAGAAGCATTGTCAGAAACTTCTTTGTGATGATTGCATTCAACTCACAGAGTTGAAGGTTCCTTTTCAAACAGCAGTTTCCAATCACTCTTTCTGTGGAATCTGCAAGTGGATATTTGGGCCTCTCTGAGGATTTCGTTGGAAACGGGATAAAACGCACAGAACTAAAACAGAAGCATTCTCAGAAACTTCTCTGTGATGTTTGTGTTCAACTCCCAGAGTGTCACATTGCTTCTCATAGAGTAGTTCTGAAACATGCTTTTCGTAGTGTCTGCAAGGGGACATTTGGAGCGCTTTCAGGCCTGTGGTGGAAAACGAATTATGGTCACATAAAAACTGGAGAGAAGCCTTCTCAGAAACTTCTCTGTGATGATTGCATTCAACTCACAGAGTTGAACCGTCCTATGGATAGAGCAGTGTTGAAACTCTCTTTTTGTGGAATCTGCAAGTGGATATGTGGACCTCTCCGAAGATGTCTTTGGAAACGGGGCTATCTTCACATAAAAACTAAACAGAAGCATTCTCAGAAACTTCTTCGTGATGTTTGCATTCAAATCCCAGAGTTGAACCTTCCTTTGAGAGTTCAGGTTTGAAACACTCTTTTTGTAGGATCTGCAAGTGGATATTTGGACCACTCTGTGGCCTTCGTTCGAAACGGGTACATCTTCGCATAAAATCTAGACAGAAGCATTCTCAGAAAATACTTTGTGATGATTGAGTTGAACTCACAGAGCTGAACATTCCTTTGGATGGAGCAGGTTTGAGACACACTTTTTGTAGAATCTACAAGTGGATATTTGGACCTCTCTGAGGATTTCGTTGGAAACGGGATAACTGCACCTAACTAAACGGAAGCATTCTCAGAAACTGCTTTGTGATGATTGCATTCACCTCACAGAGTTGAACATTCCTATTGATAGAGCAGTTTGGAAACACTCTTGTTGTGGAATGTGCAAGTGGAGATTTGGAGCGCTTTGAGGTCTATGGTAGTAAAGGGAATAGCTTCATAGAAAAACTAGACAGATGCATTCTCAGGAACTTTTTGGTGATGTTTGTATTCAACTCCCAGAGTTGAACTTTCCTTTGGAAAGAGCAGCTATGAAACACTCTTTTTCTAGAATCTGCAAGTGGACGTTTGGAGGGCTTTGTGGTTTGTGGTGGAAAAGGAAATATCTTCACCTAAATACTAGATAGAAGCTTTCTCAGAAGCTTCTCTGTGATGACTGCATTCAACTCACGGAGTTGAACACTCCTTTTGAGAGCGCAGTTTTGAAACTCCCTTTCTGTGGCATCTGCAAGGGGACATGTAGACCTCTTTGAAGATTTCGTTGGAAACGGAATCATCTTCACATAAAAACTATACAGAAGTAGTCTCAGAATCTTCTTTGTGATGTTTGCATTCAAATCCCAGAGTTGAACTTTCCTTTCAAAGTTCACGTTTGAAACACTCTTTTTGCAGGATCTACAAGTGGATATTTGGACCACTCTGTGTCCTTCGTTCGAAACGGGTATATCTTCACACGACATCTAGACAGAAGCTTTCTCAGAAAATTCTTTGGGATGATTGAGTTGAACTCACAGAGCTGAACATTCCTTGCGATGTAGCAGTTTAGAAACACACTTTCTGCAGAATCTGCAAGTGCATATTTGGACCTCTCTGAGGAATTCGTTGGAAACGGGATAATTTCAGCTGACTAAACAGAAGCATTCTCAGAACCTTCT
This sequence comes from Homo sapiens, assembly GCF_000001405.40. Taxonomy (NCBI): domain Eukaryota; kingdom Metazoa; phylum Chordata; class Mammalia; order Primates; family Hominidae; genus Homo; species Homo sapiens. Next base: position 26,511,306 of record NC_000017.11, read on the forward strand.
TCGTGATGTCTGCATTCAACTCACAGTGTGGAACCTTTCTTTGATAGTTCAGGTTTGAATCACTCTTTTTGTAGAAACTGCAAGGGGATAATTGCACTTCTTTGAGGCCTACCGTAGTAAAGGAAATAACTTCCTATAAAAAGAAGACAGAAGAATTCTCAGAGCCCTCTTCGTGATGTTTGCATTCAACTCACAGTGCTGAACCTTTCTTTGATAGTGCAGCTTTGAAACACTCTTTTTGTAGAAACTGCAAGTGGATGTTTGGTCCTCTCTGAGGATTTCGTTGGAAACGGGATAAACCGCACAGAACTAAAACAGAAGCATTCTCAGAACCTTCTTCGTGATGTTTGCATTCAACTCACAGTGTTGAACCTTTCTTTGATAGTTCAGGTTTGAAACGGTCTTTCTGTAGAAACTGCAAGTAGATATTTGGACCTCTCTGAGGATTTCGTTGGAAACGGGATAAACTGCACAGAACTAAAACAGAAGCATTCACAGAAAACTCTTGGTGACGACTGAGTTTAACTCACAGAGCTGAACATTCCTTTGGATGGAGCAGTTTCGAAACACACTATTTGTAGAATGTGCAAGTGGATATTTAGGCCTCTCTGAGGATTTCGTTGGAAATGGGATAAACCGCACAGAACTAAACAGAAGCATTCTCAGAAACTACTTTGTGATGATTGCATTCAAGTCACAGAGTTGAACATTCCCCTTGACAGAGCAGTTTGGAAACTCTCTTTGTGTAGAATCTGCAAGTGGAGATATGGACCGCTTTGAGGCCTATGGTAGTAAAGGAAATAGCTTCATATAAAAGCTAGACAGTAGCATTCTCAGAAACTTCTTTGTGATGCTTGCATTCAACTCACAGAGTTGAACTTTCCTTTCGAGAGAGAAGGTTTGAAACACTCTTTTTCCAGAATCTGCAAGTGGACATTTGGAGGGCTTTGAGGCCTGTGGTGGAAAAGGAATTATCTTCCCGTAAAAGCTAGATGGAAGCATTGTCAGAAACTTCTTTGTGATGATTGCATTCAAATCACAGAGTTGAAGGTTCCTTTTCAAACAGCAGTTTCCAATCACTCTTTCTGTGGAATGTGCAAGTGGATATTTGGACCTCTTTGAAGATTTCATTGGAAACGGGAGAATCTTCACAGAAAAGCTAAACAGAAAGCATTCTCAGAAACTTCTCTGTGATGTTTGTGTTCAACTCCCAGAGTTTCACATTGCTTTTCATAGAGTAGTTCTGAAACATGCTTTTCGTAGTGTCTGCAAGTGGACATTTGGAGCGCTTTCAGGCCTGTGGTGGAAAACGAATTATGGTCACATAAAAACTGGAGAGAAGCCTTCTCAGAAACTTCTCTGTGATGATTGCATTCAACTCACAGAGTTGAACCCTCCTATGGATAGAGCAGTGTTGAAACTCTCTTTTTGTGGAATCTGCAAGTGGATATGTGGACCTCTCCGAAGATGTCTTTGGAAACGGGAATATCTTCACATAAAAACTAAACAGAAGCATTCTCAGAAACTTCTTGGTGATGTTTGCATTCAAATCCCAGAGTTGAACCTTCCTTTGATAGTTCAGGTTTGAAACACACTTTTTGTAGGATCTGCAAGTGGATATTTGGACCACTCTGTGGCCTTCGTTCAAAACGGGTACATCTTCGCATAAAATCTAGACAGAAGCATTCTCAGAAAATACTTTGTGATGATTGAGTTTAAATCACAGAGCTGACCATTCCTTTGGATGGAGCAGGTTTGAGACACACTTTTTGTAGAATCTACAAGTGGATATTTGGACCCTCTCTGAGGATTTCGTTGGAAACGGGATAACTGCACCTAACTAAACGGAAGCATTCTCAGAAACTGCTTTGTGATGATTGCATTCACCTCACAGAGTTGAACATTCCTATTGATAGAGCAGTTTGGAAACACTCTTGTTGTGGAATGTGCAAGTGGAGATTTGGAGCGCTTTGAGGCCTATGGTAGTAAAGGGAATAGCTTCATAGAAAAACTAGACAGATGCATTCTCAGGAACCTTTTGGTGATGTTTGTATTCAACTCCCAGAGTTGAACTTTCCTTTGGAAAGAGCAGCTATGAAACACTCTTTTTCTAGAATCTGCAAGTGGACGTTTGGAGGGCTTTGTGGTTTGTGGTGGAAAAGGAAATATCTTCACCTAAATACTAGATAGAAGCATTCTCAGAAGCTTCTCTGTGATGACTGCATTCAACTCACGGAGTTGAACACTCCTTTTGAGAGCGCAGTTTTGAAACTCTCTTTCTGTGGCATCTGCAAGGGGACATGTAGACCTCTTTGAAGATTTCGTTGGAAACGGAATCATCCTCACATCAAAACTATACAGAAGCAGTCTCAGAATCTTCTTTGTGATGTTTGCATTCAAATCCCAGAGTTGAACTTTCCTTTCAAAGTTCACGTTTGAAACACTCTTTTTGCAGGATCTACAAGTGGATATTTGGACCACTCTGTGTCCTTCGTTCGAAACGGGTATATCTTCACACGACATCTAGACAGAAGCTTTCTCAGAAAATTCTTTGGGATGATTGAGTGGAACTCACAGAGCTGAACATTCCTTGCGATGTAGCAGTTTAGAAACACACTTTCTGCAGAATCTGCAAGTGCATATTTGGACCTCTCTGAGGAATTCGTTGGAAACGGGATAATTTCAGCTGACTAAACAGAAGCATTCTCAGAACCTTCTTCGTGATGTCTGCATTCAACTCACAGTGTGGAACCTTTCTTTGATAGTTCAGGTTTGAAACACTCTTTTTGTAGAAACTGCAAGGGGATAATTGCACTTCTTTCAGGTCTACCGTAGTAAAGGAAATAACTTCCTATAAAAAGAAGACAGAAGCATTCTCAGAACCTTCTTCGTGATGTTTGCATTCAACTCACAGTGCTGAACCTTTCTTTGATAGTTCAGCTTTGAAACACTCTTTTTGTAGAAACTGCAAGTGGATATTTGGTCCTCTCTGAGGATTTCGTTGGAAACGGGATAAACCGCACAGAACTAAACAGAAGCATTCACAGAAAACTCTTGGTGACGACTGAGTTTAACTCACAGAGCTGAACATTCCTTTGGATGGAGCAGTTTCGAAACACACTCTTTGTAGAATGTGCAAGTGGATATTTGGGCCTCTCTGAGGATTTCGTTGGAAACGGGATAAACCGCACAGAACTAAAACAGAAGCATTCTCAGAAACTACTTTGTGATGATTGCATTCAAGTCACAGAGTTGAACATTCCCTTTGACAGAGCAGTTTGGAAACTCTCTTTGTGTAGAATCTGCAAGTGGAGATATGGACCGCTTTGAGGCCTATGGTAGTAAAGGAAATAGCTTCATATAAAAGCTAGACAGTAGCATTCTCAGAAACTTCTTTGTGATGCTTGCATTCAACTCACAGAGTTGAACTTTCCTTTCGAGAGAGAAGCTTTGAAACACTCTTTTTCCAGAATCTGCAAGTGGACATTTGGAGGGCTTTGAGGCCTGTGGTGGAAAAGGAATTAACTTCCCGTAAAAGCTAGATAGAAGCATTGTCAGAAACTTCTTTGTGAGGATTGCATTCAACTCACAGAGTTGAATGTTCCTTTTCAAACAGCAGTTTCCAAACACTCTTTCTGTGGAATCTGCAAGTGGATATTTGGACCTCTTTGAAGATTTCGTTGGAAACGGGAGAATCTTCACAGAAAAGCTAAACGGAAGCATTCTCAGAAACTTCTCTGTGATGTTTGTGTTCAACTCCCAGAGTTTCACGTTGCTTTTCATAGAGTAGTTCTGAAACATGCTTTTCGTAGTGTCTGCAAGTGGACATTTGGAGCGCTTTCAGGCCTGTGGTGGAAAACGAATTATGGTCACATAAAAATGGAGAGAAGCCTTCTCAGAAACTTCTCTGTGATGATTGCATTCAACTCACAGAGTTGAACCCTCCCTATGGATAGAGCAGTGTTGAAACTCTCTTTTTGTGGAATCTGCAAGTGGATATGTGGACCTCTCCGAAGATGTCTTTGGAAACGGGAATATCTTCACATAAAAACTAAACAGAAGCATTCTCAGAAACTTCTTGGTGATGTTTGCATTCAAATCCCAGAGTTGAACCTTCCTTTGATAGTTCAGGTTTGAAACACTCTTTCTGTAGGATCTGCAAGTGGCTATTTGGACCACTCTGTGGCCTTCGTTCGAAACGGGTATATCTTCGCATAAAATCTAGACAGAAGCATTCTCAGAAAATACTTTGTGATGATTGAGTTTAAATCACAGAGCTGAACATTCCTTTGGATGGAGCAGGTTTGAGACACACTTTTTGTAGAATCTACAAGTGGATATTTGGACCTCTCTGAGGATTTCGTTGGAAACGGGATAACTGCACCTAACTAAACGGAAGCATTCTCAGAAACTGCTTTGTGATGATTGCATTCACCTCACAGAGTTGAACATTCCTATTGATAGAGCAGTTTGGAAACACTCTTGTTGTGGAATGTGCAAGTGGAGATTTGGAGCGCTTTGAGGCCTGTGGTAGTAAAGGGAATAGCTTCATAGAAAAACTAGACAGATGCATTCTCAGGAACTTTTTGGTGATGTTTGTATTCAACTCCCAGAGTTGAACTTTCCTTTGGAAAGAGCAGCTATGAAACACTCTTTTTCTAGAATCTGCAAGTGGACGTTTGGAGGGCTTTGTGGTTTGTGGTGGAAAAGGAAATATCTTCACCTAAATACTAGATAGAAGCATTCTCAGAAGCTTCTCTGTGATGACTGCATTCAACTCACGGAGTTGAACACTCCTTTTGAGAGCGCAGTTTTGAAACTCTCTTTCTGTGGCATCTACAAGGGGACATGAAGACCTCTTTGAAGATTTCGTTGGAAACGGAATCATCTTCACATAAAAACTATACAGAAGCAGTCTCAGAATCTTCTTTGTGATGTTTGCATTCAAATCCCAGAGTTGAACTTTCCTTTCAAAGTTCACGTTTGAAACACTCTTTTTGCAGGATCTACAAGTGGATATTTGGACCACTCTGTGTCCTTCGTTCGAAACGGGTATATCTTCACATGACATCTAGACAGAAGCTTTCTCAGAAAATTCTTTGGGATGATTGAGTTGAACTCACAGAGCTGAACATTCCTTGCGATGTAGCAGTTTAGAAACACACTTTCTGCAGAATCTGCAAGTGCATATTTGGACCTCTGTGAGGAATTCGTTGGAAACGGGATAATTTCAGCTGACTAAACAGAAGCATTCTCAGAACCTTCTTCGTGATGTCTGCATTCAACTCACAGTGTGGAACCTTTCTTTGATAGTTCAGGTTTGAAACACTCTTTTTGTAGAAACTGCAAGGGGATAATTGCACTTCTTTGAGGCCTACCGTAGTAAAGGAAATAACTTCCTATAGAAAGAAGACAGAAGCATTCTCAGAACCCTCTTCGTGATGTTTGCATTCAACTCACAGTGCTGAACCTTTCTTTGATAGTTCAGCTTTGAAACACTCTTTTTGTAGAAACTGCAAGTGGATATTTGGTCCTCTCTGAGGAATTCGTTGGAAACGGGATAAACTGCACAGAACTAAACAGAAGCATTCTCAGAACCTTCTTCGTGATGTTTGCATTCAACTCACAGTGCTGAACCTTTCTTTGATAGTTCAGCTTTGAAACACTCTTTTTGTAGAAACTGCAAGTGGATATTTGGTGCTCTCTGAGGATTTCGTTGGAAACGGGATAAACCGCACAGAACTAAACAGAAGCATTCACAGAAAACTCTTGGTGACGACTGAGTTTAACTCACAGAGCTGAACATTCCTTTGGATGGAGCAGTTTCGAAACACACTCTTTGAAGAATCTGCAAGTGGATATTTGGGCCTCTCTGAGGATTTCGTTGGAAACGGGATAAACCGCACAGAACTAAAACAGAAGCATTCTCAGAAACTACTTTGTGATGATTGCATTCAAGTCACAGAGTTGAACATTCCCTTTGACAGAGCAGTTTGGAAACTCTCTTTGTGTAGAATCTGCAAGTGGAGATATGGACCGCTTTGAGGCCTATGGTAGTAAAGGAAATAGCTTCATATAAAAGCTAGACAGTAGCATTCTCAGAAACTTCTTTGTGATGCTTGCATTCAACTCACAGAGTTGAACTTTCCTTTCGAGAGAGAAGCTTTGAAACACTCTTTTTCCAGAATGTGCAAGTGGACATTTGGGGAGCTTTGAGGCCTGGGGTGGAAAAGGAATTATCTTCCCGTAAAAGCTAGATAGAAGCATTGTCAGAAACTTCTTTGTGATGATTGCATTCAACTCACAGAGTTGAAGGTTCCTTTTCAAAGAGCAGTTTCCAATCACTCTTTGTGTGGAATCTGCAAGTGGATATTTGGACCTATTTTGAAGATTTCGTTGGAAACGGGAGAATCTTCACAGGAAAGCTAAACAGAAGCATTCTCAGAAACTTCTCTGTGATGTTTGTGTTCAACTCCCAGAGTTTCACGTTGCTTTTCATAGAGTAGTTCTGAAACATGCTTTTCGTAGTGTCTGCAAGTGGACATTTGGAGCGCTTTCAGGCCTGTGGTGGAAAACGAATTATGGTCACATAAAAACTGGAGAGAAGCCTTCTCAGAAACTTCTCTGTGATGACTGCATTCAACTCACAGAGTTGAACCCTCCTATGGATAGAGCAGTGTTGAAACTCTCTTTTTGTGGAATCTGCAAGTGGATATGTGGACCTCTCCGAAGATGTTCTTTGGAAACGGGAATATCTTCACATAAAAACTAAACAGAAGCATTCTCAGAAACTTCTTGGTGATGTTTGCATTCAAATCCCAGAGTTGAACCTTCCTTTGATAGTTCAGGTTTGAAACACTCTTTCTGTAGGATCTGCAAGTGGCTATTTGGACCACTCTGTGGCCTTCGTTCGAAACGGGTATATCTTCGCATAAAATCTAGACAGAAGCATTCTCAGAAAATACTTTGTGATGATTGAGTTTAAATCACAGAGCTGACCATTCCTTTGGATGGAGCAGGTTTGAGACACACTTTTTGTAGAATCTACAAGTGGATATTTGGACCTCTCTGAGGATTTCGTTGGAAACGGGATAACTGCACCTAACTAAACGGAAGCATTCTCAGAAACTGCTTTGTGATGATTGCATTCACCTCACAGAGTTGAACATTCCTATTGATAGAGCAGTTTGGAAACACTCTTGTTGTGGAATGTGCAAGTGGAGATTTGGAGCGCTTTGAGGCCTGTGGTAGTAAAGGGAATAGCTTCATAGAAAAACTAGACAGATGCATTCTCAGGAACTTTTTGGTGATGTTTGTATTCAACTCCCAGAGTTGAACTTTCCTTTGGAAAGAGCAGCTATGAAACACTCTTTTTCTAGAATCTGCAAGTGGACGTTTGGAGGGCTTTGTGGTTTGTGGTGGAAAAGGAAATATCTTCACCTAAATACTAGATAGAAGCATTCTCAGAAGCTTCTCTGTGATGACTGCATTCAACTCACGGAGTTGAACACTCCTTTTGAGAGCGCAGTTTTGAAACTCTCTTTCTGTGGCATCTGCAAGGGGACATGTAGACCTCTTTGAAGATTTCGTTGGAAACGGAATCATCTTCACATAAAAACTATACAGAAGCAGTCTCAGAATCTTCTTTGTGATGTTTGCATTCAAATCCCAGAGTTGAACTTTCCTTTCAAAGTTCACGTTTGAAACACTCTTTTTGCAGGATCTACAAGTGGATATTTGGACCACTCTGTGTCCTTCGTTCGAAACGGGTATATCTTTCACACGACATCTAGACAGAAGCTTTCTCAGAAAATTCTTTGGGATGATTGAGTGGAACTCACAGAGCTGAACATTCCTTGCGATGTAGCAGTTTAGAAACACACTTTCTGCAGAATCTGCAAGTGCATATTTGGACCTCTCTGAGGAATTCGTTGGAAACGGGATAATTTCAGCTGACTAAACAGAAGCATTCTCAGAACCTTCTTCGTGATGTCTGCATTCAACTCACAGTGTGGAACCTTTCTTTGATAGTTCAGGTTTGAAACACTCTTTTTGTAGAAACTGCAAGGGGATAATTGCACTCTTTGAGGAGTACCGTAGTAAAGGAAATAACTTCCTATAAAAAGAAGACAGAAGAATTCTCAGAGCCCTCTTCGTGATGTTTGCATTCAACTCACAGTGCTGAACCTTTCTTTGATAGTGCAGCTTTGAAACACTCTTTTTGTAGAAACTGCAAGTGGATGTTTGGTCCTCTCTGAGGATTTCGTTGGAAACGGGATAAACCGCACAGAACTAAAACAGAAGCATTCTCAGAACCTTCTTCGTGATGTTTGCATTCAACTCACAGTGTTGAACCTTTCTTTGATAGTTCAGGTTTGAAACGGTCTTTCTGTAGAAACTGCAAGTAGATATTTGGACCTCTCTGAGGATTTCGTTGGAAACGGGATAAACCGCACAGAACTAAACAGAAGCATTCACAGAAAACTCTTGGTGACGACTGAGTTTAACTCACAGAGCTGAACATTCCTTTGGATGGAGCAGTTTCGAAACACACTATTTGTAGAATCTGCAAGTGGATACTTGGGCCTCTCTGAGGATTTCGTTGGAAACGGGATAAAACGCACAGAACTAAAACAGAAGCATTCTCAGAAACTACTTTGTGATGATTGCATTCAAGTCACAGAGTTGAACATTCCCTTTGACAGAGCAGTTTGGAAACTCTCTTTGTGTAGAATCTGCAAGTGGAGATATGGACCGCTTTGAGGCCTATGGTAGTAAAGGAAATAGCTTCATATAAAAGCTAGACAGTAGCATTCTCAGAAACTTCTTTGTGATGCTTGCATTCAACTCACAGAGTTGAACTTTCCTTTCGAGAGAGAAGCTTTGAAACACTCTTTTTCCAGAATCTGCAAGTGGACATTTGGAGGGCTTTGAGGCCTGTGGTGGAAAAGGAATTATCATCCCGTAAAAGCTAGATAGAAGCATTGTCAGAAACTTCTTTGTGATGATTGCATTCAACTCAGAGAGTTGAAGGTTCCTTTTCAAACAGCAGTTTCCAATCACTCTTTCTGTGGAATCTGCAAGTGGATATTTGGACCTATTTTGAAGATTTCGTTGGAAACGGGATAATCTTCACAGAAAAGCCAAACAGAAGCATTCTCAGAAACTTCTCTGTGATGTTTGTGTTCAACTCCCAGAGTTTCACATTGCTTTTCATAGAGTAGTTCTGAAACATGCTTTTCGTAGTGTCTGCAAGTGGACATTTGGAGCGCTTTCAGGCCTGTGGTGGAAAACGAATTATGGTCACATAAAAACTGGAGAGAAGCCTTCTCAGAAACTTCTCTGTGATGATTGCATTCAACTCACAGAGTTGAACCCTCCTATGGATAGAGCAGTGTTGAAACTCTCTTTTTGTGGAATCTGCAAGTGGATATGTGGACCTCTCCGAAGATGTCTTTGGAAACGGGAATATCTTCACATAAAAACTAAACAGAAGCATTCTCAGAAACTTCTTGGTGATGTTTGCATTCAAATCCCAGAGTTGAACCTTCCTTTGATAGTTCAGGTTTGAAACACTCTTTTTGTAGGATCTGCAAGTGGATATTTGGACCACACTGTGGCCTTCGTTCAAAACGGGTACATCTTCGCATAATATGTAGACAGAAGCATTCTCAGAAAATACTTTGTGATGATTGAGTTTAACTCACAGAGCTGAACATTCCTTTGGATGGAGCAGGTTTGAGACACACCTTTTGTAGAATCTACAAGTGGATATTTGGACCTCTCTGAGGATTTCGTTGGAAACGGGATAACTGCACCTAACTAAACGGAAGCATTCTCAGAAACTGCTTTGTGATGATTGCATTCACCTCACAGAGTTGAACATTCCTATTGATAGAGCAGTTTGGAAACACTCTTGTTGTGGAATGTGCAAGTGGAGATTTGGAGCGCTTTGAGGCCTATGGTAGTAAAGGGAATAGCTTCATAGAAAAACTAGACAGATGCATTCTCAGGAACTTTTTGGTGATGTTTGTATTCAACTCCCAGAGTTGAACTTTCCTTTGGAAAGAGCAGCTATGAGACACTGTTTCTCTAGAATCTGCAAGTGGACGTTTGGAGGGCTTTGTGGTTTGTGGTGGAAAAGGAAATATCTTCACCTAAATACTAGATAGAAGCATTCTCAGAAGCTTCTCTGTGATGACTGCATTCAACTCACAGAGTTGAACACTCCTTTTGAGAGTGCAGTTTTGAAACTCTCTTTCTGTGGCATCTGCAAGGGGACATGTAGACCTCTCTGAAGATTTCGTTGGAAACGGAATCATCTTCACATAAAAACTATACAGAAGCAGTCTCAGAATCTTCTTTGCGATGTTTGCATTCAAATCCCAGAGTTGAACTTTCCTTTCAAAGTTCACATTTGAAACACTCTTTTTGCAGGATCTACAAGTGGATATTTGGACCACTCTGTGTACTTCGTTCGAAACGGGTATATCTTCACATGACATCTAGACAGAAGCTTTCTCAGAAAATTCTTTGGGATGATTGAGTGGAACTCACAGAGCTGAACATTCCTTGCGATGTAGCAGTTTAGAAACACACTTTCTGCAGAATCTGCAAGTGCATATTTGGACCTCTCTGAGGAATTCGTTGGAAACGGGATAATTTCAGCTGACTAAACAGAAGCATTCTCAGAACCTTCTTCGTGGTGTCTGCATTCAACTCACAGTGTGGAACCTTTCTTTGATAGTTCAGGCTTGAAACACTCTTTTTGTAGAGACTGCAAGGGGATAATTGCACTTCTTTGAGGCCTACCGTAGTAAAGGAAATAACTTCCTATAAAAAGAAGACAGAAGCATTCTCAGAACCCTCTTCGTGATGTTTGCATTCAACTCACAGTGCTGAACGTTTCTTTGATAGTTCAGCTTTGAAACACTCTTTTTGTAGAAACTGCAAGTGGATATTTGGTCCTCTCTGAGGATTTCGTTGGAAACGGGATAAACCGCACAGAACTAAACAGAAGCATTCTCAGAACCTTCTTCGTGATGTTTGCATTCAACTCACAGTGTTGAACCTTTCTTTGATAGTTCAGCTTTGAAACGGTCTTTCTGTAGAAACTGCAAGTAGATATTTGGCCCTCTCTGAGGATTTCGTTGGAAACGGGATAAACCGCACAGAACTAAAACAGAAGCATTCACAGAAAACTCTTGGTGACGACTGAGTTTAACTCACAGAGCTGAACATTCCTTTGGATGGAGCAGTTTCGAAACACACTATTTGTAGAATGTGCAAGTGGATATTTGGGCCTCTCTGAGGATTTCGTTGGAAACGGGATAAACCGCACAGAACTAAACAGAAGCATTCTCAGAAACTACTTTGTGATGATTGCATTCAAGTCACAGAGTTGAACATTCCCTTTGACAGAGCAGTTTGGAAACTCTCTTTGTGTAGAAAATGCAAGTGGAGATATGGACCGCTTTGAGGCCTATGGTAGTAAAGGAAATAGCTTCATATAAAAGCTAGACAGTAGCATTCTCAGAAACTTCTTTGTGATGCTTGCATTCAACTCACAGATTTGAACTTTCCTTTCGAGAGAGAAGCTTTGAAACACTCTTTTTCCAGAATCTGCAAGTGGACATTTGGAGGGCTTTGAGGCCTGTGGTGGAAAAGGAATTATCTTCCGTAAAAGCTAGATAGAAGCATTGTCAGAAACTTCTTTGTGATGATTGCATTCAACTCACAGAGTTGAAGGTTCCTTTTCAAACAGCAGTTTCCAATCACTCTTTCTGTGGAATCTGCAAGTGGATGTTTGGACCTCTTTGAAGATTTCGTTGGAAACGGGAGAATCTTCACAGAAAAGCTAAACAGAAGCATTCTCAGAAACTTCTCTCTGATGTTTGTGTTCAACTCCCAGAGTTTCACATTGCTTTTCATAGAGTAGTTCTGAAACATGCTTTTCGTAGGGTCTGCAAGGGGACATTTGGAGCGCTTTCAGGCCTGTGGTGGAAAACGAATTATGGTCACATAAAAACTGGAGAGAAGCCTTCTCAGAAACTTCTCTGTGATGATTGCATTCAACTCACAGAGTTGAACCCTCCTATGGATAGAGCAGTGTTGAAACTCTCTTTTTGTGGAATCTGCAAGTGGATATGTGGACCTCTCCGAAGATGTCTTTGGAAACGGGAATATCTTCACATAAAAACTAAACAGAAGCATTCTCAGAAACTTCTTGGTGATGTTTGCATTCAAATCCCAGAGTCGAACCTTCCTTTGATAGTTCAGGTTTGAAACACTCTTTTTGTAGGATCTGCAAGTGGATATTTGGACCACTCTGTGGCCTTCGTTCGAAACGGGTATATCTTCGCATAAAATCTAGACAGAAGCATTCTCAGAAAATACTTTGTGATGATTGAGTTGAACTCACAGAGCTGAACATTCCTTTGGATGGAGCAGGTTTGAGACACACTTTTTGTAGAATCTACAAGTGGATATTTGGACCTCTCTGAGGATTTCGTTGGAAACGGGATAACTGCACCTAACTAAACGGAAGCATTCTCAGAAACTGCTTTGTGATGATTGCATTCACCTCACAGAGTTGAACATTCCTATTGATAGAGCAGTTTGGAAACACTCTTGTTGTGGAATGTGCAAGTGGAGATTTGGAGCGCTTTGAGGCCTATGGTAGTAAAGGGAATAGCTTCATAGAAAAACTAGACAGATGCATTCTCAGGAACTTTTTGGTGATGTTTGTATTCAACTCCCAGAGTTGAACTTTCCTTTGGAAAGAGCAGCTATGAAACACTCTTTTTCTAGAATCTGCAAGTGGACGTTTGGAGGGCTTTGTGGTTTGTGGTGGAAAAGGAAATATCTTCACCTAAATACTAGAGAGAAGCATTCTCAGAAGCTTCTCTGTGATGACTGCATTCAACTCACGGAGTTGAACACTCCTTTTGAGAGCGCAGTTTTGAAACTCCCTTTCTGTGGCATCTGCAAGGGGACATGTAGACCTCTTTGAAGATTTCGTTGGAAACGGAATCATCTTCACATAAAAACTATACAGAAGCAGTCTCAGAATCTTCTTTGTGGTGTTTGCATTCAAATCCCAGAGTTGAACTTTCCTTTCAAAGTTCACGTTTGAAACACTCTTTTTGCAGGATCTACAAGTGGATATTTGGACCACTCTGTGTCCTTCGTTCGAAACGGGTATATCTTCACATGACATCTAGACAGAAGCTTTCTCAGAAAATTCTTTGGGATGATTGAGTGGAACTCACAGAGCTGAACATTCCTTGCGATGTAGCAGTTTAGAAACACAGTTTCTGCAGAATCTGCAAGTGCATATTTGGACCTCTCTGAGGAATTCGTTGGAAACGGGATAATTTCAGCTGACTAAACAGAAGCATTCTCAGAACCTTCTTCGTGATGTCTGCATTCAACTCACAGTGTGGAACCTTTCTTTGATAGTTCAGGTTTGAAACACTCTTTTTGTAGAAACTGCAAGGGGATAATTGCACTTCTTTGAGGCCTACCCGTAGTAAAGGAAATAACTTCCTATAGAAAGAAGACAGAAGCATTCTCAGAACCCTCTTCGTGATGTTTGCATTCAACTCACAGTGCTGAACCTTTCTTTGATAGTTCAGCTTTGAAACACTCTTCTTGTAGAAACTGCAAGTGGATATTTGGTCCTCTCTGAGGATTTCGTTGGAAACGGGATAAACCGCACAGAACTAAACAGAAGCATTCTCAGAACCTTCTTCGTGATGTTTGCATTCAACTCACAGTGTTGAACCTTTCTTTGATAGTTCAGGTTTGAAACGGTCTTTCTGTAGAAACTGCAAGTAGATATTTGGACCTCTCTGAGGATTTCGTTGGAAACGGGATAACCCGCACAGAACTAAAACAGAAGCATTCACAGAAAACTCTTGGTGACGACTGAGTTTAACTCACAGAGCTGAACATTCCTTTGGATGGAGCAGTTTCGAAACACACTATTTGTAGAATGTGCAAGTGGATATTTAGGCCTCTCTGAGGATTTCGTTGGAAACGGGATAAACCGCACAGAACTAAACAGAAGCATTCTCAGAAACTACTTTGTGATGATTGCATTCAAGTCACAGAGTTGAACATTCCCTTTGACAGAGCAGTTTGGAAACTCTCTTTGTGTAGAATCTGCAAGTGGAGATATGGACCGCTTTGAGGCCTATGGTAGTAAAGGAAATAGCTTCATATAAAAGCTAGACAGTAACATTCTCAGAAACTTCTTTGTGATGCTTGCATTCAACTCACAGAGTTGAACTTTCCTTTCGAGAGAGAAGCTTTGAAACACTCTTTTTCCAGAATCTGCAAGTGGACATTTGGAGGGCTTTGAGGCCTGTGGTGGAAAAGGAATTAACTTCCCGTAAAAGCTAGATAGAAGCATTGTCAGAAACTTCTTTGTGATGATTGCATTCAACTCACAGAGTTGAAGGTTCCTTTTCAAAGAGCAGTTTCCAATCACTCTTTCTGTGGAATCTGCAAGTGGATATTTCGACCTATTTTGAAGATTTCGTTGGAAACGGGATAATCTTCACAGAAAAGCTAAACAGAAGCATTCTCAGAAACTTCTCTGTGATGTTTGTGTTCAACTCCCAGAGTTTCACATTGCTTTTCATAGAGTAGTTCTGAAACATGCTTTTCGTAGTGTCTACAAGTGGACATTTGGAGCGCTTCCAGTCCTGTGGTGGAAAACGAATTATGGTCACATAAAAACTGGAGAGAAGCCTTCTCAGAAACTTCTCTGTGATGATTGCATTCAACTCACAGAGTTGAACCCTCCCTATGGATAGAGCAGTGTTGAAACTCTCTTTTTGTGGAATCTGCAAGTGGATATGTGGACCTCTCCGAAGATGTCTTTGGAAACGGGAATATCTTCACATAAAAACTAAACAGAAGCATTCTCAGAAACTTCTTGGTGATGTTTGCATTCAAATCCCAGAGTTGAACCTTCCTTTGATAGTTCAGGTTTGAAACACTCTTTTTGTAGGATCTGCAAGTGGCTATTTGGACCACTCTGTGGCCTTCGTTCGAAACGGGTATATCTTCGCATAAAATCTAGACAGAAGCATTCTCAGAAAATACTTTGTGATGATTGAGTTGAACTCACAGAGCTGAACATTCCTTTGGATGGAGCAGGTTTGAGACACACTTTTTGTAGAATCTACAAGTGGATATTTGGACCTCTCTGAGGATTTCGTTGGAAACGGGATAACTGCACTTAACTAAACGGAAGCATTCTCAGAAACTGCTTTGTGATGATTGCATTCACCTCACAGAGTTGAACATTCCTATTGATAGAGCAGTTTGGAAACACTCTTCTTGTGGAATGTGCAAGTGGAGATTTGGAGCGCTTTGAGGCCTATGGTAGTAAAGGGAATAGCTTCATAGAAAAACTAGACAGATGCATTCTCAGGAACTTTTTCGTGATGTTTGTATTCAACTCCCAGAGTTGAACTTTCCTTTGGAAAGAGCAGCTATGAAACACTCTTTTTCTAGAATCTGCAAGTGGACGTTTGGAGGGCTTTGTGGTTTGTGGTGGAAAAGGAAATATCTTCACCTAAATAGTAGATAGAAGCATTCTCAGAAGCTTCTCTGTGATGACTGCATTCAACTCACGGAGTTGAACACTCCTTTTGAGAGCGCAGTTTTGAAACTCTCTTTCTGTGGCATCTGCAAGGGGACATGTAGACCTCTTTGAAGATTTCGTTGGAAACGGAATCATCTTCACATCAAAACTATACAGAAGCAGTCTTAGAATCTTCTTTGTGATGTTTGCATTCAAATCCCAGAGTTGAGCTTTCTTTCAAAGTTCACGTTTGAAACACTCTTTTTGCAGGATCTACAAGTGGATATTTGGACCACTCTGTGTCCTTCGTTCGAAACGGGTATATCTTCACATGACATCTAGACAGAAGCTTTCTCAGAAAATTCTTTGGGATGATTGAGTGGAACTCACAGAAGCTGAACATTCCTTGCGATGTAGCAGTTTAGAAACACACTTTCTGCAGAATCTGCAAGTGCATATGTGGACCTCTCTGAGGAATTCGTTGGAAACGGGATAATTTCAGCTGACTAAACAGAAGCATTCTCAGAACCTTCTTCGTGATGTCTGCATTCAACTCACAGTGTGGAACCTTTCTTTGATAGTTCAGGTTTGAAACACTCTTTTTGTAGAAACTGCAAGGGGATAATTGCACTTCTTTGAGGCCTACCGTAGTAAAGGAAATAACTTCCTATAGAAAGAAGACAGAAGAATTCTCAGAGCCCTCTTCGTGATGTTTGCATTCAACTCACAGTGCTGAACCTTTCTTTGATAGTGCAGCTTTGAAACACTCTTTTTGTAGAAACTGCAAGTGGATGTTTGGTCCTCTCTGAGGATTTCGTTGGAAACGGGATAAACCGCACAGAACTAAAACAGAAGCATTCTCAGAACCTTCTTCGTGATGTTTGCATTCAACTCACAGTGTTGAACCTTTCTTTGATAGTTCAGGTTTGAAACGGTCTTTCTGTAGAAACTGCAAGTAGATATTTGGACCTCTCTGAGGATTTCGTTGGAAACGGGATAACCCGCACAGAACTAAAACAGAAGCATTCACAGAAAACTCTTGGTGACGACTGAGTTTAACTCACAGAGCTGAACATTCCTTTGGATGGAGCAGTTTCGAAACACACTATTTGTAGAATGTGCAAGTGGATATTTAGGCCTCTCTGAGGATTTCGTTGGAAACGGGATAAACCGCACAGAACTAAACAGAAGCATTCTCAGAAACTACTTTGTGATGATTGCATTCAAGTCACAGAGTTGAACATTCCCTTTGACAGAGCAGTTTGGAAACTCTCTTTGTGTAGAATCTGCAAGTGGAGATATGGACCGCTTTGAGGCCTATGGTAGTAAAGGAAATAGCTTCATATAAAAGCTAGACAGTAGCATTCTCAGAAACTTCTTTGTGATGCTTGCATTCAACTCACAGAGTTGAACTTTCCTTTCGAGAGAGAAGCTTTGAAACACTCTTTTTCCAGAATGTGCAAGTGGACATTTGGAGGGCTTTGAGGCCTGTGGTGGAAAAGGAATTATCTTCCCGTAAAAGCTAGATAGAAGCATTGTCAGAAACTTCTTTGAGATGATTGCATTCAACTCACAGAGTTGAAGGTTCCTTTTCAAACAGCAGTTTCCAATCACTCTTTCTGTGGAATCTGCAAGTGGATATTTCGACCTCTTTGAAGATTTCGTTGGAAACGGGAGAATCTTCACAGAAAAGCTAAACAGAAGCATTCTCAGAAACTTCTCTGTGATGTTTGTGTTTAACTCCCAGAGTTTCACGTTGCTTTTCATAGAGTAGTTCTGAAACATGCTTTTCGTAGTGTCTGCAAGTGGACATTTGGAGCGCTTTCAGGCCTGTGGTGGAAAACGAATTATGGTCACTTAAAAACTGGAGAGAAGCCTTCTCAGAAACTTCTCTGTGATGATTGCATTCAACTCACAGAGTTGAACCCTCCTATGGATAGAGCAGTGTTGAAACTCTCTTTTTGTGGAATCTGCAAGTGGATATGTGGACCTCTCCGAAGATGTCTTTGGAAACGGGAATATCTTCACATAAAAACTAAACAGAAGCATTCTCAGAAACTTCTTGGTGATGTTTGCATTCAAATCCCAGAGTTGAACCTTCCTTTGATAGTTCAGGTTTGAAACACTCTTTCTGTAGGATCTGCAAGTGGCTATTTGGACCACTCTGTGGCCTTCGTTCGAAACGGGTATATCTTCGCATAAAATCTAGACAGAAGCATTCTCAGAAAATACTTTGTGATGATTGAGTTTAAATCACAGAGCTGACCATTCCTTTGGATGGAGCAGGTTTGAGACACACTTTTTGTAGAATCTACAAGTGGATATTTGGACCTCTCTGAGGATTTCGTTGGAAACGGGATAACTGCACCTAACTAAACGGAAGCATTCTCAGAAACTGCTTTGTGATGATTGCATTCATCTCACAGAGTTGAACATTCCTATTGATAGAGCAGTTTGGAAACACTCTTGTTGTGGAATGTTTAAGTGGAGATTTGGAGCGCTTTGAGGCCTATGGTAGTAAAGGGAATAGCTTCATAGAAAAATTAGACAGATGCAATCTCAGGAACTTTTTGCTGATGTTTGTATTCAACTCCCAGAGTTGAACTTTCCTTTGGAAAGAGCAGCTATGAAACACTCTTTTTCTAGAATCTGCAAGTGGATGTTTGGAGGGCTTTGTGGTTTGTGGTGGAAAAGGAAATATCTTCACCTAAATACTAGAGAGAAGCATTCTCAGAAGCTTCTCTGTGATGACTGCATTCAACTCACGGAGTTGAACACTCCTATTGAGAGCGCAGTTTTGAAAATCTCTTTCTGTGACATCTGCAAGGGGACATGTAGAACTCTTTGAAGATTTCGTTGGAAACGGAATCATCTTCACATAAAAACTATACAGGAGCAGTCTCAGAATCGTCTTTGTGATGTTTGCATTCAAATCCCAGAGTTGAACTTTCCTTTGGAAGTTCACGTTTGAAACACTCTTTTTGCAGGATCTACAAGTGGATATTTGGACCACTCTGTGTCCTTCGTTCGAAACGGGTATATCTTCACATGACATCTAGACAGAAGCTTTCACAGAAAATTCTTTGGGATGATTGAGTGGAAGTCACAGAGCTTAACATTCCTTGCGATGTAGCAGTTTAGAAACACACTTTCTGCAGAATCTGCAAGTGCATATTTGGACCTCTCTGAGGAATTCGTTGGAAACGGAATAATTTCAGCTGACTAAACAGAAGCATTCTCAGAACCTTCTTCGTGATGTCTGCATTCAACACAAAGTGTGGAACTTTTCTTTGATAGTTCAGGTTTTAAAAACTCTTTTTGTAGAAACTGCAAGGGGATAATTGCACTCTTTGAGGAGTACCGTAGTAAAGGAAATAACTTCCTATAAAAAGAAGACAGAAGCATTCTCAGAACCCTCTTCGTGATGTTTGCATTCAACTCACGGTGCTGAACCTTTCTTGGATAGTTCAGCTTTGAAACACTCTTTTTGTAGAAACTGCAAGTGGATATTTGGTCCTCTCTGAGGATTTCGTTGGAAACGGGATAAACCGCACAGAACTAAACAGAAGCATTCTCAGAACCTTCTTCGTGATGTTTGCATTCAACTCACAGTGTTGAACCTTTCTTTGATAGTTCAGGTTTGAAACGGTCTTTCTGTAGAAACTGCAAGTAGATATTTGGACCTCTCTGAGGATTTCGTTGGAAACGGGATAAACCGCACAGAACTAAAACAGAAGCATTCACAGTAAAACTCTTGGTGACGACTGAGTTTAACTCACAGAGCTGAACATTCCTTTGGATGGAGCAGTTTCGAAACACACTATTTGTAGAATCTGCAAGTGGATATTTGGGCCTCTCTGAGGATTTCGTTGGAAACGGGATAAACCGCACAGAACTAAAACAGAAGCATTCTCAGAAACTACTTTGTGATGATTGCATTCAAGTCACAGAGTTGAACATTCCCTTTGACAGAGCAGTTTGGAAACTCTCTTTGTGTAGAATCTGCAAGTGGAGATATGGACCGCTTTGAGGCCTATGGTAGTAAAGGAAATAGCTTCATATAAAAGCTAGACAGTAGCATTCTCAGAAACTTCTTTGTGATGCTTGCATTCAACTCACAGAGTTGAACTTTCCTTTCGAGAGAGAAGCTTTGAAACACTCTTTTTCCAGAATCTGCAAGTGGACATTTGGAGGGCTTTGAGGCCTGTGGTGGAAAAGGAATTATCTTCCCGTAAAAGCTAGATAGAAGCATTGTCAGAAACTTCTTTGTGATGATTGCATTCAACTCACAGAGTTGAAGGTTCCTTTTCAAAGAGCAGTTTCCAATCACTCTTTGTGTGGAATCTGCAAGTGGATATTTGGACCTATTTTGAAGATTTCGTTGGAAACGGGAGAATCTTCACAGGAAAGCTAAACAGAAGCATTCTCAGAAACTTCTCTGTGATGTTTGTGTTCAACTCCCAGAGTTTCACGTTGCTTTTCATAGAGTAGTTCTGAAACATGCTTTTCGTAGTGTCTGCAAGTGGACATTTGGAGCGCTTTCAGGCCTGTGGTGGAAAACGAATTATGGTCACATAAAAACTGGAGAGAAGCCTTCTCAGAAACTTCTCTGTGATGATTGCATTCAACTCACAGAGTTGAACCCTCCTATGGATAGAGCAGTGTTGAAACTCTCTTTTTGTGGAATCTGCAAGTGGATATGTGGACCTCTCCGAAGATGTCTTTGGAAACGGGAATATCTTCACATAAAAACTAAACAGAAGCATTCTCAGAAACTTCTTGGTGATGTTTGCATTCAAATCCCAGAGTTGAACCTTCCTTTGATAGTTCAGGTTTGAAACACTCTTTCTGTAGGATCTGCAAGTGGCTATTTGGACCACTCTGTGGCCTTCGTTCGAAACGGGTATATCTTCGCATAAAATCTAGACAGAAGCATTCTCAGAAAATACTTTGTGATGATTGAGTTTAACTCACAGAGCTGAACATTCCTTTGGATGGAGCAGGTTTGAGACACACCTTTTGTAGAATCTACAAGTGGATATTTGGACCTCTCTGAGGATTTCGTTGGAAACGGGATAACTGCACCTAACTAAACGGAAGCATTCCCAGAAACTGCTTTGTGATGATTGCATTCACCTCACAGAGTTGAACATTCCTATTGATAGAGCAGTTTGGAAACACTCTTGTTGTGGAATGTGCAAGTGGAGATTTGGAGCGCTTTGAGGTCTATGGTAGTAAAGGGAATAGCTTCATAGAAAAACTAGACCGATGCATTCTCAGGAACTTTTTGGTGATGTTTGTATTCCACTCCCAGAGTTGAACTTTCCTTTGGAAAGAGCAGCTATGAAACACTCTTTTTCTAGAATCTGCAAGTGGACGTTTGGAGGGCTTTGTGGTTTGTGGTGGAAAAGGAAATATCTTCACCTAAATACTAGATAGAAGCATCCTCAGAAGCTTCTCTGTGATGACTGCATTCAACTCACGGAGTTGAACACTCCTTTTGAGAGCGCAGTTTTGAAACTCTCTTTCTGTGGCATCTGCAAGGGGACATGTAGACCTCTTTGAAGATTTCGTTGGAAACGGAATCATCTTCACATAAAAACTATACAGAAGCAGTCTCAGAATCTTCTTTGTGATGTTTGCATTCAAATCCCAGAGTTGAACTTGCCTTTCAAAGTTCACGTTTGAAACACTCTTTTTGCAGGATCTACAAGTGGATATTTGGACCACTCTGTGTCCTTCGTTCGAAACGGGTATATCTTCACATGACATCTAGACAGAAGCTTTCTCAGAAAATTCTTTGGGATGATTGAGTTGAACTCACAGAGCTGAGCATTCCTTGCGATGTAGCAGTTTAGAAACACACTTTCTGCAGAATCTGCAAGTGCATATTTGGACCTCTGTGAGGAATTCGTTGGAAACGGGATAATTTCAGCTGACTAAACAGAAGCATTCTCAGAACCTTCTTCGTGATGTCTGCATTCAACTCACAGTGTGGAACCTTTCTTTGATAGTTCAGGTTTGAAACACTCTTTTTGTAGAAACTGCAAGGGGATAATTGCACTTCTTTGAGGCCTACCGTAGTAAAGGAAATAACTTCCTATAGAAAGAAGACAGAAGCATTCTCAGAACCCTCTTCGTGATGTTTGCATTCAACTCACAGTGCTGAACCTTTCTTTGATAGTTCAGCTTTGAAACACACTTTTTGTAGAAACTGCAAGTGGATATTTGGTCCTCTCTGAGGATTTCGTTGGAAACGGGATAAACTGCACAGAACTAAACAGAAGCATTCTCAGAACCTTCTTCGTGATGTTTGCATTCAACTCACAGTGTTGAACCTTTCTTTGATAGTTCAGGTTTGAAACGGTCTTTCTGTAGAAACTGCAAGTAGATATTTGGACCTCTCTGAGGATTTCGTTGGAAACGGGATAAACCGCACAGAACAAAAACAGAAGCATTCACAGAAAACACTTGGTGACGACTGAGTTTAACTCACAGAGCTGAACATTCCTTTGGATGGAACAGTTTCGAAACACACTCTTTGTAGAATCTGCAAGTGGATATTTGGGCCTCTCTGAGGATTTCGTTGGAAACGGGATAAACCGCACAGAACTAAAACAGAAGCATTCTGAGAAACTACTTTGTGATGATTGCATTCAAGTCACAGAGCTGAACATTCCCTTTGATAGAGCAGTTTGGAAACTCTCTTTGTGTAGAATCTGCAAGTGGAGATATGGAATGCTTTGAGGACTATGGTAGTAAAGGAAATAGTTTCATATAAAAGCTAGACAGTAGCATTCTCAGAAACTTCTTTGTGATGCTTGCATTCAACTCACAGAGTTGAACTTTCCTTTCGAGAGAGAAGCTTTGAAACACTCTTTTTCCAGAATCTGCAAGTGGACATTTGGAGGGCTTTGAGGCCTGTGGTGGAAAAGGAATTATCTTCCCGTAAAAGCTAGATAGAAGCATTGTCAGAAACTTCTTTGTGATGATTGCATTCAACTCACAGAGTTGAAGGTTCCTTTTCTAAGAGCAGTTTCCAATCACTCTTTCTGTGGAATCTGCAAGTGGATATTTGGACCTATTTTGAAGATTTCGTTGGAAACGGGAGAATCTTCACAGAAAAGCTAAACAGAAGCATTCTCAGAAACTTCTCTGTGATGTTTGTGTTCAACTCCCAGAGTTTCACATTGCTTTTCATAGAGTAGTTCTGAAACATGCTTTTCGTAGTGTGTACAAGTGCACATTTGGAGCGCTTTCAGGCCTGTGGTGGAAAACGAATTATGGTCACATAAAAACTGGAGAGAAGCCTTCTCAGAAACTTCTCTGTGATGATTGCATTCAACTCACAGAGTTGAACCCTCCTATGGATAGAGCAGTGTTGAAACTCTCTTTTTGTGGAATCTGCAAGTGGATATGTGGACCTCTCCGAAGATGTCTTTGGAAACGGGAATATCTTCACATAAAAACTAAACAGAAGCATTCTCAGAAACTTCTTGGTGATGTTTGCATTCAAATCCCAGAGTTGAACCTTCCTTTGATAGTTCAGGTTTGAAACACTCTTTTTGTAGGATCTGCAAGTGGATATTTGGACCACTCTGTGGCCTTCGTTCGAAACGGGTACATCTTCGCATAAAATCTAGACAGAAGCATTCTCAGAAAATACTTTGTGATGATTGAGTTTAACTCACAGAGCTGAACATTCCTTTGGATGGAGCAGGTTTGAGACACACTTTTTGTAGAATCTACAAGTGGATATTTGGACCTCTCTGAGGATTTCGTTGGAAACGCGATAACTGCACCTAACTAAACGGAAGCATTCTCAGAAACTGCTTTGTGATGATTGCATTCACCTCACAGAGTTGAACATTCCTATTGATAGAGCAGTTTGGAAACACTCTTGTTGTGGAATGTGCAAGTGGAGATTTGGAGCGCTTTGAGGCCTATGGTAGTAAAGGGAATAGCTTCATAGAAAAACTAGACAGATGCATTCTCAGGAACTTTTTGGTGATGTTTGTATTCAACTCCCAGAGTTGAACTTTCCTTTGGAAAGAGCAGCTATGAAACACTCTTTTTCTAGAATCTGCAAGTGGACGTTTGGAGGGCTTTGTGGTTTGTGGTGGAAAAGGAAATATCTTCACCTAAATACTAGATAGAAGCATTCTCAGAAGCTTCTCTGTGATGACTGCATTCAACTCACGGAGTTGAACACTCCTTTTGAGAGCGCAGTTTTGAAACTCTCTTTCTGTGGCATCTGCAAGGGGACATGTAGACCTCTTTGAAGATTTCGTTGGAAACGGAATCATCTTCACATAAAAACTATACAGAAGCAGTCTCAGAATCTTCTTTGTGATGTTTGCATTCAAATCCCAGAGTTGAACTTGCCTTTCAAAGTTCACGTTTGAAACACTCTTTTTGCAGGATCTACAAGTGGATATTTGGACCACTCTGTGTCCTTCGTTCGAAACGGGTATATCTTCACATGACATCTAGACAGAAGCTTTCTCAGAAAATTCTTTGGGATGATTGAGTTGAACTCACAGAGCTGAACATTCCTTGCGATGGAGCAGTTTAGAAACACACTTTCTGCAGAATCTGCAAGTGCATATTTGGACCTCTCTGAGGAATTCGTTGGAAACGGGATAATTTCAGCTGACTAAACAGAAGCATTCTCAGAACCTTCTTCGTGATGTCTGCATTCAACTCACAGTGTGGAACATATCTTTGATACTTCAGGTTTGAAACACTCTTTTTGTAGAGACTGCAAGGGGATAATTGCACTTCTTTGAGGCCTACCGTAGTAAAGGAAATAACTTCCTATAAAAAGAAGACAGAAGCATTCTCAGAACCCTCTTCGTGATGTTTGCATTGAACTCACAGTGCTGAACCTTTCTTTGATAGTTCAGCTTTGAAACACTCTTTTTGTAGAAACTGCAAGTGGATATTTGGTCCTCTCTGAGGATTTCGTTGGAAAAGGGATAAAACGCCCAGAACTAAACAGAAGCATTCTCAGAACCTTCTTCGTGATGTTTGCATTCAACTCACAGTGTTGAACCTTTCTTTGATAGTTCAGGTTGGAAACGGTCTTTCTGTAGAAACTGCAAGTAGATATTTGGACCTCTCTGAGGATTTCGTTGGAAACGGGATAAACCGCACAGAACTAAAACAGAAAGCATTCACAGAAAACTCTTGGTGACGACTGAGTTTAACTCACAGAGCTGAACATTCCTTTGGATGGAGCAGTTTCGAAACACACTATTTGTAGAATGTGCAAGTGGATATTTGGGCCTCTCTGAGGATTTCGTTGGAAACGGGATAAACCGCACAGAACTAAACAGAAGCATTCTCAGAAACTACTTTGTGATGATTGCATTCAAGTCACAGAGTTGAACATTCCCTTTGACAGAGCAGTTTGGAAACTCTCTTTGTGTAGAATCTGCAAGTGGAGATATGGACCGCTTTGAGGCCTATGGTAGTAAAGGAAATAGCTTCATATAAAAGCTAGACAGTAGCATTCTCAGAAACTTCTTTGTGATGCTTGCATTCAACTCACAGAGTTGAACTTTCCTTTCGAGAGAGAAGCTTTGAAACACTCTTTTTCCAGAATCTGCAAGTGGACATTTGGAGGGCTTTGAGGCCTGTGGTGGAAAAGGAATTAACTTCCCGTAAAAGCTAGATAGAAGCATTGTCAGAAACTTCTTTGTGATGATTGCATTCAACTCACAGAGATGAAGGTTCCTTTACAAACAGCAGTTTCCAAACACTCTTTCTGTGGAATCTGCAAGTGGATATTTGGACCTCTTTGAAGATTTCGTTGGAAACGGGAGAATCTTCACAGAAAAGCTAAACAGAAGCATTCTCAGAAACTTCTCTGTGATGTTTGTGTTCAACTCCCAGAGTTTCACGTTGCTTTTCATAGAGTAGTTCTGAAACATGCTTTTCGTAGTGTCTGCAAGTGGACATTTGGAGCGCTTTCAGGCCTGTGGTGGAAAACGAATTATGGTCACATAAAAACTGGAGAGAAGCCTTCTCAGAAACTTCTCTGTGATGATTGCATTCAACTCACAGAGTTGAACCCTCCTATGGATAGAGCAGTGTTGAAACTCTCTTTTTGTGGAATCTGCAAGTGGATATGTGGACCTCTCCGAAGATGTCTTTGGAAACGGGAATATCTTCACATAAAAACTAAACAGAAGCATTCTCAGAAACTTCTTGGTGATGTTTGCATTCAAATCCCAGAGTTGAACCTTCCTTTGATAGTTCAGGTTTGAAACACTCTTTTTGTAGGATCTGCAAGTGGATATTTGGACCACTCTGTGGCCTTCGTTCGAAACGGGTACATCTTCGCATAAAATCTAGACAGAAGCATTCTCAGAAAATACTTTGTGATGATTGAGTTTAAATCACAGAGCTGACCATTCCTTTGGATGGAGCAGGTTTGAGACACACTTTTTGTAGAATCTACAAGTGGATATTTGGACCTCTCTGAGGATTTCGTTGGAAACGGGATAACTGCACCTAACTAAACGGAAGCATTCTCAGAAACTGCTTTGTGATGATTGCATTCACCTCACAGAGTTGAACATTCCTATTGATAGAGCAGTTTGGAAACACTCTTGTTGTGGAATGTGCAAGTGGAGATTTGGAGCGCTTTGAGGCCTATGGTAGTAAAGGGAATAGCTTCATAGAAAAACTAGACAGATGCATTCTCAGGAACTTTTTGGTGATGTTTGTATTCAACTCCCAGAGTTGAACTTTCCTTTGGAAAGAGCAGCTATGAAACACTCTTTTTCTAGAATCTGCAAGTGGACGTTTGGAGGGCTTTGTGGTTTGTGGTGGAAAAGGAAATATCTTCACCTAAATACTAGACAGAAGCATTCTCAGAAGCTTCTCTGTGATGACTGCATTCAACTCACGGAGTTGAACACTCCTTTTGAGAGCGCAGTTTTGAAACTCTCTTTCTGTGGCATCTGCAAGGGGACATGTAGACCTCTTTGAAGATTTCGTTGGAAACGGAATCATCTTCACATAAAAACTATACAGAAGCAGTCTCAGAATCTTCTTTGTGATGTTTGCATTCAAATCCCAGAGTTGAACTTTCCTTTCAAAGTTCACGTTTGAAACACTCTTTTTGCAGGATCTACAAGTGGATATTTGGACCACTCTGTGTCCTTCGTTCGAAACGGGTATATCTTCACACGACATCTAGACAGAAGCTTTCTCAGAAAATTCTTTGGGATGATTGAGTGGAACTCACAGAGCTGAACATTCCTTGCGATGTAGCAGTTTAGAAACACACTTTCTGCAGAATCTGCAAGTGCATATTTGGACCTCTCTGAGGAATTCGTTGGAAACGGGATAATTTCAGCTGACTAAACAGAAGCATTCTCAGAACCTTCTTCGTGATGTCTGCATTCAACTCACAGTGTGGAACCTTTCTTTGATAGTTCAGGTTTGAAACACTCTTTTTGTAGAAACTGCAAGGGGATAATTGCACTTCTTTGAGGCCTACCGTAGTAAAGGAAATAACTTCCTATAGAAAGAAGACAGAAGCATTCTCAGAACCCTCTTCGTGATGTTTGCATTCAACTCACGGTGCTGAACCTTTCTTTGATAGTTCAGCTTTGAAACACTCTTTTTGTAGAAACTGCAAGTGGATATTTGGTCCCCTCTGAGGATTTCGTTGGAAACGGGATAAACCGCACAGAACTAAACAGAAGCATTCTCAGAACCTTCTTCGTGATGTTTGCATTCAACTCACAGTGTTGAACCTTTCTTTGATAGTTCAGGTTTGAAACGGTCTTTCTGTAGAAACTGCAAGTAGATATTTGGACCTCTCTGAGGATTTCGTTGGAAACGGGATAACCCGCACAGAACTAAAACAGAAGCATTCACAGAAAACTCTTGGTGACGACTGAGTTTAACTCACAGAGCTGGACATTCCTTTGGATGGAGCAGTTTTGAAACACACTATTTGTAGAATCTGCAAGTGGATATTTGGGCCCCTCTGAGGATTTCGTTGGAAACGGGATAAACCGCACAGAACTAAAACAGAAGCATTCTCAGAAACTACTTTGTGATGATTGCATTCAAGTCACAGAGTTGAACATTCCCTTTGACAGAGCAGTTTGGAAACTCTCTTTGTGTAGAATCTGCAAGTGGAGATATGGACCGCTTTGAGGCCTATGGTAGTAAAGGAAATAGCTTCATATAAAAGCTAGACAGTAGCATTCTCAGAAACTTCTTTGTGATGCTTGCATTCAACTCACAGAGTTGAACTTTCCTTTCGAGAGAGAAGCTTTGAAACACTCTTTTTCCAGAATCTGCAAGTGGACATTTGGAGGGCTTTGAGGCCTGTGGTGGAAAAGGAATTAACTTCCCGTAAAAGCTAGATAGAAGCATTGTCAGAGACTTCTTTGTGATGATTGCATTCAAGTCACAGAGTTGAAGGTTCCTTTTCAAAGAGCAGTTTCCAATCACTCTTTCTGTGGAATCTGCAAGTGGATATTTGGACCTCCTTTGAAGATTTCGTTGGAAACGGGAGAATCTTCACAGAAAAGCTAAACAGAAGCATTCTCAGAAACTTCTCTGTGATGTTTGTGTTCAACTCCCAGAGTTTCACGTTGCTTTTCATAGAGTAGTTCTGAAACATGCTTTTCGTAGTGTCTGCAAGTGGACATTTGGAGCGCTTTCAGGCCTGTGGTGGAAAACGAATTATGGTCACATAAAAACTGGAGAGAAGCCTTCTCAGAAACTTCTCTGTGATGATTGCATTCAACTCACAGAGTTGAACCCTCCTATGGATAGAGCAGTGTTGAAACTCTCTTTTTGTGGAATCTGCAAGTGGATATGTGGACCTCTCCGAAGATGTCTTTGGAAACGGGAATATCTTCACATAAAAACTAAACAGAAGCATTCTCAGAAACTTCTTGGTGATGTTTGCATTCAAATCCCAGAGTTGAACCTTCCTGTGATAGTTCAGGTTTGAAACACTCTTTTTGTAGGATCTGCAAGTGGATATTTGGACCACTCTGTGGCCTTCGTTCGAAACGGGTACATCTTCACATAAAATCTAGACAGAAGCATTCTCAGAAAATACTTTGTGATGATTGAGTTTAAATCACAGAGCTGACCATTCCTTTGGATGGAGCAGGTTTGAGACACACTTTTTGTAGAATCTACAAGTGGATATTTGGACCTCTCTGAGGATTTCGTTGGAAACGGGATAACTGCACCTAACTAAACGGAAGCATTCTCAGAAACTGCTTTGTGATGATTGCATTCACCTCACAGAGTTGAACATTCCTATTGATAGAGCAGTTTGGAAACACTCTTGTTGTGGAATGTGCAAGTGGAGATTTGGAGCGCTTTGAGGCCTATGGTAGTAAAGGGAATAGCTTCATAGAAAAACTAGACAGATGCATTCTCAGGAACTTTTTGGTGATGTTTGTATTCAACTCCCAGAGTTGAACTTTCCTTTGGAAAGAGCAGCTATGAAACACTCTTTTTCTAGAATCTGCAAGTGGACGTTTGGAGGGCTTTGTGGTTTGTGGTGGAAAAGGAAATATCTTCACCTAAATACTAGATAGAAGCATTCTCAGAAGCTTCTCTGTGATGACTGCATTCAACTCACGGAGTTGAACACTCCTTTTGAGAGCGCAGTTTTGAAACTCTCTTTCTGTGGCATCTGCAAGGGGACATGTAGACCTCTTTGAAGATTTCGTTGGAAACGGAATCATCTTCACATAAAAACTATACAGAAGTAGTCTCAGAATCTTCTTTGTGATGTTTGCATTCAAATCCCAGAGTTGAACTTTCCTTTCAAAGTTCACGTTTGAAACACTCTTTTTGCAGGATCTACAAGTGGATATTTGGACCACTCTGTGTCCTTCGTTCGAAACGGGTATATCTTCACACGACATCTAGACAGAAGCTTTCTCAGAAAATTGTTTGGGATGATTGAGTGGAACTCACAGAGCTGAACATTCCTTGCGATGTAGCAGTTTAGAAACACACTTTCTGCAGAATCTGCAAGTGCATATTTGGACCTCTCAGAGGAATTCGTTGGAAACGGGATAATTTCAGCTGACTAAACAGAAGCATTCTCAGAACCTTCTTCGTGATGTCTGCATTCAACTCACAGTGTGGAACCTTTCTTTGATAGTTCAGGTTTGAAACACTCTTTTTGTAGAAACTGCAAGGGGATAATTGCACTTCTTTGAGGCCTACCGTAGTAAAGGAAATAACTTCCTATAGAAAGAAGACAGAAGAATTCTCAGAGCCCTCTTCGTGATGTTTGCATTCAACTCACAGTGCTGAACCTTTCTTTGATAGTGCAGCTTTGAAACACTCTTTTTGTAGAAACTGCAAGTGGATGTTTGGTCCTCTCTGAGGATTTCGTTGGAAACGGGATAAACCGCACAGAACTAAAACAGAAGCATTCTCAGAACCTTCTTCGTGATGTTTGCATTCAACTCACAGTGTTGAACCTTTCTTTGATAGTTCAGGTTTGAAACGGTCTTTCTGTAGAAACTGCAAGTAGATATTTGGACCTCTCTGAGGATTTCGTTGGAAACGGGATAAACCGCACAGAACTAAAACAGAAGCATTCACAGAAAACTCTTGGTGACGACTGAGTTTAACTCACAGAGCTGAACATTCCTTTGGATGGAGCAGTTTCGAAACACACTATTTGTAGAATGTGCAAGTGGATATTTGGGCCTCTCTGAGGATTTCGTTGGAAACGGGATAAACCGCACAGAACTAAACAGAAGCATTCTCAGAAACTACTTTGTGATGATTGCATTCAAGTCACAGAGTTGAACATTCCCTTTGACAGAGCAGTTTGGAAACTCTCTTTGTGTAGAATCTGCAAGTGGAGATATGGACCGCTTTGAGGCCTATGGTAGTAAAGGAAATAGCTTCATATAAAAGCTAGACAGTAGCATTCTCAGAAACTTCTTTGTGATGCTTGCATTCAACTCACAGAGTTGAACTTTCCTTTCGAGAGAGAAGCTTTGAAACACTCTTTTTCCAGAATCTGCAAGTGGACATTTGGAGGGCTTTGAGGCCTGTGGTGGAAAAGGAATTATCTTCCCGTAAAAGCTAGATAGAAGCATTGTCAGAAACTTCTTTGTGATGATTGCATTCAACTCACAGAGTTGAAGGTTCCTTTTCAAACAGCAGTTTCCAATCACTCTTTCTGTGGAATCTGCAAGTGGATATTTCGACCTCTTTGAAGATTTCGTTGGAAACGGGAGAATCTTCACAGAAAAGCTAAACAGAAGCATTCTCAGAAACTTCTCTGTGATGTTTGTGTTCAACTCCCAGAGTTTCACATTGCTTCTCATAGAGTAGTTCTGAAACATGCTTTTCGTAGTGTCTGCAAGTGGACATTTGGAGCGCTTTCAGGCCTGTGGTGGAAAACGAATTATGGTCACATAAAAACTGGAGAGAAGCCTTCTCAGAAACTTCTCTGTGATGATTGCATTCAACTCACAGAGTTGAACCCTCCTATGGATAGAGCAGTGTTGAAACTCTCTTTTTGTGGAATCTGCAAGTGGATATGTGGACCTCTCCGAAGATGTCTTTGGAAACGGGAATATCTTCACATAAAAACTAAACAGAAGCATTCTCAGAAACTTCTTGGTGATGTTTGCATTCAAATCCCAGAGTTGAACCTTCCTTTGATAGTTCAGGTTTGAAACACTCTTTCTGTAGGATCTGCAAGTGGCTATTTGGACCACTCTGTGGCCTTCGTTCGAAACGGGTATATCTTCGCATAAAATCTAGACAGAAGCATTCTCAGAAAATACTTTGTGATGATTGAGTTTAAATCACAGAGCTGAACATTCCTTTGGATGGAGCAGGTTTGAGACACACTTTTTGTAGAATCTACAAGTGGATATTTGGACCTCTCTGAGGATTTCGTTGGAAACGGGATAACTGCACCTAACTAAACGGAAGCATTCTCAGAAACTGCTTTGTGATGATTGCATTCACCTCACAGAGTTGAACATTCCTATTGATAGAGCAGTTTGGAAACACTCTTGTTGTGGAATGTGCAAGTGGAGATTTGGAGCGCTTTGAGGCCTATGGTAGTAAAGGGAATAGCTTCATAGAAAAACTAGACAGATGCATTCTCAGGAACTTTTTGGTGATGTTTGTATTCAACTCCCAGAGTTGAACTTTCCTTTGGAAAGAGCAGCTATGAAACACTCTTTTTCTAGAATCTGCAAGTGGACGTTTGGAGGGCTTTGTGGTTTGTGGTGGAAAAGGAAATATCTTCACCTAAATACTAGATAGAAGCATTCTCAGAAGCTTCTCTGTGATGACTGCATTCAACTCACGGAGTTGAACACTCCTTTTGAGAGCGCAGTTTTGAAACTCTCTTTCTGTGGCATCTGCAAGGGGACATGTAGACCTCTTTGAAGATTTCGTTGGAAACGGAATCATCTTCACATAAAAACTATACAGAAGCAGTCTCAGAATCTTCTTTGTGATGTTTGCATTCAAATCCCCGAGTTGAACTTTCCTTTCAAAGTTCACGTTTGAAACACTCTTTTTGCAGGATCTACAAGTGGATATTTGGACCACTCTGTGTCCTTCGTTCGAAACGGGTATATCTTCACATGACATCTAGACAGAAGCTTTCTCAGAAAATTCTTTGGGATGATTGAGTGGAACTCACAGAGCTGAACATTCCTTGCGATGTAGCAGTTTAGAAACACACTTTCTGCAGAATCTGCAAGTGCATATTTGGACCTCTCTGAGGAATTCGTTGGAAACGGGATAATTTCAGCTGACTAAACAGAAGCATTCTCAGAACCTTCTTCGTGATGTCTGCATTCAACTCACAGTGTGGAACCTTTCTTTGATAGTTCAGGTTTGAAACACTCTTTTTGTAGAAACTGCAAGGGGATAATTGCACTTCTTTGAGGCCTACCGTAGTAAAGGAAATAACTTCCTATAGAAAGAAGACAGAAGCATTCTCAGAACCCTCTTCGTGATGTTTGCATTCAACTCACAGTGCTGAAACTTTCTTTGATAGTTCAGCTTTGAAACACTCTTCTTGTAGAAACTGCAAGTGGATATTTGGTCCTCTCTGAGGATTTCGTTGGAAACGGGATAAACTGCACAGAACTAAACAGAAGCATTCTCAGAACCTTCTTCGTGATGTTTGCATTCAACTCACAGTGTTGAACCTTTCTTTGATAGTTCAGGTTGGAAACGGTCTTTCTGTAGAAACTGCAAGTAGATATTTGGACCTCTCTGAGGATTTCGTTGGAAACGGGATAAACCGCACAGAACTAAAACAGAAGCATTCACAGAAAACTCTTGGTGACGACTGAGTTTAACTCACAGAGCTGAACATTCCTTTGGATGGAGCAGTTTCGAAACACACTATTTGTAGAATGTGCAAGTGGATATTTAGGCCTCTCTGAGGATTTCGTTGGAAACGGGATAAACCGCACAGAACTAAACAGAAGCATTCTCAGAAACTACTTTGTGATGATTGCATTCAAGTCACAGAGTTGAACATTCCCTTTGACAGAGCAGTTTGGAAACTCTCTTTGTGTAGAATCTGCAAGTGGAGATATGGACCGCTTTGAGGCCTATGGTAGTAAAGGAAATAGCTTCATATAAAAGCTAGACAGTAGCATTCTCAGAAACTTCTTTGTGATGCTTGCATTCAACTCACAGAGTTGAACTTTCCTTTCGAGAGAGAAGCTTTGAAACACTCTTTTTCCAGAATCTGCAAGTGGACATTTGGAGGGCTTTGAGGCCTGTGGTGGAAAAGGAATTAACTTCCCGTAAAAGCTAGATAGAAGCATTGTCAGAAACTTCTTTGTGATGATTGCATTCAACTCACAGAGTTGAAGGTTCCTTTTCAAACAGCAGTTTCCAATCACTCTTTCTGTGGAATCTGCAAGTGGATATTTGGGCCTCTCTGAGGATTTCGTTGGAAACGGGATAAAACGCACAGAACTAAAACAGAAGCATTCTCAGAAACTTCTCTGTGATGTTTGTGTTCAACTCCCAGAGTTTCACATTGCTTTTCATAGAGTAGTTCTGAAACATGCTTTTCGTAGTGTCTGCAAGTGGACATTTGGAGCGCTTTCAGGCCTGTGGTGGAAAACGAATTATGGTCACATAAAAACTGGAGAGAAGCCTTCTCAGAAACTTCTCTGTGATGATTGCATTCAACTCACAGAGTTGAACCCTCCTATGGATAGAGCAGTGTTGAAACTCTCTTTTTGTGGAATCTGCAAGTGGATATGTGGACCTCTCCGAAGATGTCTTTGGAAACGGGAATATCTTCACATAAAAACTAAACAGAAGCATTCTCAGAAACTTCTTGGTGATGTTTGCATTCAAATCCCAGAGTTGAACCTTCCTTTGATAGTTCAGGTTTGAAACACTCTTTCTGTAGGATCTGCAAGTGGCTATTTGGACCACTCTGTGGCCTTCGTTCGAAACGGGTATATCTTCGCATAAAATCTAGACAGAAGCATTCTCAGAAAATACTTTGTGATGATTGAGTTTAAATCACAGAGCTGAACATTCCTTTGGATGGAGCAGGTTTGAGACACACTTTTTGTAGAATCTACAAGTGGATATTTGGACCTCTCTGAGGATTTCGTTGGAAACGGGATAACTGCACCTAACTAAACGGAAGCATTCTCAGAAACTGCTTTGTGATGATTGCATTCACCTCACAGAGTTGAACATTCCTATTGATAGAGCAGTTTGGAAACACTCTTGTTGTGGAATGTGCAAGTGGAGATTTGGAGCGCTTTGAGGCCTATGGTAGTAAAGGGAATAGCTTCATAGAAAAACCAGACAGATGCATTCTCAGGAACTTTTTGGTGATGTTTGTATTCAACTCCCAGAGTTGAACTTTCCTTTGGAAAGAGCAGCTATGAAACACTCTTTTTCTAGAATCTGCAAGTGGACGTTTGGAGGGCTTTGTGGTTTGTGGTGGAAAAGGAAATATCTTCACCTAAATACTAGATAGAAGCATTCTCAGAAGCTTCTCTGTGATGACTGCATTCAACTCACGGAGTTGAACACTCCTTTTGAGAGCGCAGTTTTGAAACTCTCTTTCTGTGGCATCTGCAAGGGGACATGTAGACCTCTTTGAAGATTTCGTTGGAAACGGAATCATCTTCACATAAAAACTATACAGAAGCAGTCTCAGAATCTTCTTTGTGATGTTTGCATTCAAATCCCAGAGTTGAACTTGCCTTTCAAAGTTCACGTTTGAAACACTCTTTTTGCAGGATCTACAAGTGGATATTTGGACCACTCTGTGTCCTTCGTTCGAAACGGGTATATCTTCACATGACATCTAGACAGAAGCTTTCTCAGAAAATTCTTTGGGATGATTGAGTGGAACTCACAGAGCTGAACATTCCTTGCGATGTAGCAGTTTAGAAACACACTTTCTGCAGAATCTGCAAGTGCATATTTGGACCTCTCTGAGGAATTCGTTGGAAACGGGATAATTTCAGCTGACTAAACAGAAGCATTCTCAGAACCTTCTTCGTGATGTCTGCATTCAACTCACAGTGTGGAACCTTTCTTTGATAGTTCAGGTTTGAAACACTCTTTTTGGAGAAACTGCAAGGGGATCATTGCACTTCTTTGAGGCCTACCGTAGTAAAGGAGATAACTTCCTATAAAAAGAAGACAGAAGCATTCTCAGAACCCTCTTCGTGATGTTTGCATTCAACTCACAGTGCTGAACCTTTCTTTGATAGTTCAGCTTTGAAACACTCTTCTTGTAGAAACTGCAAGTGGATATTTGGTCCTCTCTGAGGATTTCGTTGGAAACGGGATAAACCGCACAGAACTAAACAGAAGCATTCTCAGAACCTTCTTCGTGATGTTTGCATTCAACTCACAGTGTTGAACCTTTCTTTGATAGTTCAGGTTTGAAACGGTCTTTCTGTAGAAACTGCAAGTAGATATTTGGACCTCTCTGAGGATTTCGTTGGAAACGGGATAACCCGCACAGAACTAAAACAGAAGCATTCACAGAAAACTCTTGGTGACGACTGAGTTTAACTCACAGAGCTGAACATTCCTTTGGATGGAGCAGTTTCGAAACACACTATTTGTAGAATCTGCAAGTGGATATTTGGGCCTCTCTGAGGATTTCGTTGGAAACGGGATAAAACGCACAGAACTAAAACAGAAGCATTCTCAGAAACTACTTTGTGACGATTGCATTCAAGTCACAGAGTTGAACATTCCCTTTGACAGAGCAGTTTGGAAACTCTCTTTGTGTAGAATCTGCAAGTGGAGATATGGACCGCTTTGAGGCCTATGGTAGTAAAGGAAATAGCTTCATATAAAAGCTAGACAGTAGCATTCTCAGAAACTTCTTTGTGATGCTTGCATTCAACTCACAGAGTTGAACTTTCCTTTCGAGAGAGAAGCTTTGAAACACTCTTTTTCCAGAATCTGCAAGTGGACATTTGGAGGGCTTTGAGGCCTGTGGTGGAAAAGGAATTATCTTCCCGTAAAAGCTAGATAGAAGCATTGTCAGAAACTTCTTTGTGATGATTGCATACAAGTCACAGAGTTGAAGGTTCCTTTTCAAAGAGCAGTTTCCAATCACTCTTTCTGTGGAATCTGCAAGTGGATATTTGGACCTCTTTGAAGATTTCGTTGGAAACGGGAGAATCTTCACAGAAAAGCTAAACAGAAGCATTCTCAGAAACTTCTCTGTGATGTTTGTGTTCAACTCCCAGAGTTTCACATTGCTTCTCATAGAGTAGTTCTGAAACATGCTTTTCGTAGTGTCTGCAAGTGGACATTTGGAGCGCTTTCAGGCCTGTGGTGGAAAACGAATTATGGTCACATAAAAACTGGAGAGAAGCCTTCTCAGAAACTTCTCTGTGATGATTGCATTCAACTCACAGAGTTGAACCCTCCTATGGATAGAGCAGTGTTGAAACTCTCTTTTTGTGGAATCTGCAAGCGGATATGTGGACCTCTCCGAAGATGTCTTTGGAAACGGGAATATCTTCACATAAAAACTAAACAGAAGCATTCTCAGAAACTTCTTGGTGATGTTTGCATTCAAATCCCAGAGGTGAACCTTCCTTTGATAGTTCAGGTTTGAAACACTCTTTTTGTAGGATCTGCAAGTGGCTATTTGGACCACTCTGTGGCCTTCGTTCGAAACGGGTATATCTTCGCATAAAATCTAGACAGAAGCATTCTCAGAAAATACTTTGTGATGATTGAGTTTAAATCACAGAGCTGACCATTCCTTTGGATGGAGCAGGTTTGAGACACACTTTTTGTAGAATCTACAAGTGGATATTTGGACCTCTCTGAGGATTTCGTTGGAAACGGGATAACTGCACCTAACTAAACGGAAGCATTCTCAGAAACTGCTTTGTGATGATTGCATTCACCTCACAGAGTTGAACATTCCTATTGATAGAGCAGTTTGGAAACACTCTTGTTGTGGAATGTGCAAGTGGAGATTTGGAGCGCTTTGAGGCCTATGTTAGTAAAGGGAATAGCTTCATAGAAAAACTAGACAGATGCATTCTCAGGAACCTTTTGGTGATGTTTGTATTCAACTCCCAGAGTTGAACTTTCCTTTGGAAAGAGCAGCTATGAAACACTCTTTTTCTAGAATCTGCAAGTGGACGTTTGGAGGGCTTTGTGGTTTGTGGTGGAAAAGGAAATATCTTCACCTAAATACTAGATAGAAGCATTCTCAGAAGCTTCTCTGTGATGACTGCATTCAACTCACGGAGTTGAACACTCCTTTTGAGAGCGCAGTTTTGAAACTCTCTTTCTGTGGCATCTGCAAGGGGACATGTAGACCTCTTTGAAGATTTCGTTGGAAACGGAATCATCTTCACATAAAAACTATACAGAAGCATTCTCAGAACCCTCTTCGTGATGTTTGCATTCAACTCACAGTGCTGAACCTTTCTTTGATAGTTCAGCTTTGAAACACTCTTTTTGTAGAAACTGCAAGTGGATATTTGGTCTTCTCTGAGTATTTCTTTGGAAAAGGGATAAACCGCACAGAACTAAACAGAAGCTTTCTCAGAAAATTCTTTGGGATGATTGAGTAGAACTCACAGAGCTGAACATTCCTTTGGATGGAGCAGTTTCGAAACACACTCTTTGTAAAATCTGCAAGTGGATATTTCGGCCTCTCTGAGGATTTCGTTGGAAACGGGATAAACCGCACAGAACTAAAACAGAAGCATTCTCAGAACCTTCTTCGTGATGTCTGCATTCAACTCACAGTGTGGAACCTTTCTTTGATAGTTCAGGTTTGAAACACTCTTTTTGTAGAAACTGCAAGGGGATAATTGCACTTCTTTGAGGCCTACCGTAGTAAAGGAAATAACTTCCTATAAAAAGAAGACAGAAGCATTCTCAGAACCCTCTTCGTGATGTTTGCATTCAACTCACAGTGCTGAACCTTTCTTTGATAGTTCAGCTTTGAAACACTCTTTTTGTAGAAACTGCAAGTGGATATTTGGTCCTCTCTGAGGATTTCGTTGGAAACGGGATAAACCGCACAGAACTAAACAGAAGCATTCTCAGAACCTTCTTCGTGATGTTTGCATTCAACTCACAGTGTTGAACCTTTCTTTGATAGTTCAGGTTTGAAATGGTCTTTCTGTAGAAACTGCAAGTAGATATTTGGACCTCTCTGAGGATTTCGTTGGAAACGGGATAAACCGCACACAACTAAAACAGAAGCATTCACAGAAAACTCTTGGTGACGACTGAGTTTAACTCACAGAGCTGAACATTCCTTTGGATGGAGCAGTTTCAAAACACACTATTTGTAGAATGTGCAAGTGGATATGTGGGCCTCTCTGAGGATTTCGTTGGAAACGGGATAAACCGCACAGAACTAAACAGAAGCATTCTCAGAAACTACTTTGTGATGATTGCATTCAAGTCACAGAGTTGAACATTCCCTTTGACAGAGCAGTTTGGAAACTCTCTTTGTGTAGAATCTGCAAGTGGAGATATGGACCCCTTTGAGGCCTATGGTAGTAAAGGAAATAGCTTCATATAAAAGCTAGACAGTAGCATTCTCAGAAACTTCTTTGTGATGCTTGCATTCAACTCACAGAGTTGAACTTTCCCTTCGAGAGAGAAGCTTTGAAACACTCTTTTTCCAGAATCTGCAAGTGGACATTTGGAGGGCTTTGAGGCCTGTGGTGGAAAAGGAATTATCTTCCCGTAAAAGCTAGATAGAAGCATTGTCAGAAACTTCTTTGTGATGATTGCATTCAACTCACAGAGTTGAAGGTTCCTTTTCAAAGAGCAGTTTCCAATCACTCTTTGTGTGGAATCTGCAAGTGGATATTTGGACCTATTTTGAAGATTTCGTTGGAAACGGGAGAATCTTCACAGGAAAGCTAAACAGAAGCATTCTCAGAAACTTCTCTGTGATGTTTGTGTTCAACTCCCAGAGTTTCACATTGCTTTTCATAGAGTAGTTCTGAAACATGCTTTTCGTAGTGTCTGCAAGTGGACATTTGGAGCGCTTTCAGGCCTGTGGTGGAAAACGAATTATGGTCACATAAAAACTGGAGAGAAGCCTTCTCAGAAACTTCTCTGTGATGATTGCATTCAACTCACAGAGTTGAACCCTCCTATGGATAGAGCAGTGTTGAAACTCTCTTTTTGTGGAATCTGCAAGTGGATATGTGGACCTCTCCGAAGATGTCTTTGGAAACGGGAATATCTTCACATAAAAACTAAACAGAAGCATTCTCAGAAACTTCTTGGTGATGTTTGCATTCAAATCCCAGAGTTGAACCTTCCTTTGATAGTTCAGGTTTGAAACACTCTTTCTGTAGGATCTGCAAGTGGCTATTTGGACCACTCTGTGGCCTTCGTTCGAAACGGGTATATCTTCGCATAAAATCTAGACAGAAGCATTCTCAGAAAATACTTTGTGATGATTGAGTTTAACTCACAGAGCTGAACATTCCTTTGGATGGAGCAGGTTTGAGACACACTTTTTGTAGAATCTACAAGTGGATATTTGGACCTCTCTGAGGATTTCGTTGGAAACGGGATAACTGCACCTAACTAAACGGAAGCATTCTCAGAAACTGCTTTGTGATGATTGCATTCACCTCACAGAGTTGAACATTCCTATTGATAGAGCAGTTTGGAAACACTCTTGTTGTGGAATGTGCAAGTGGAGATTTGGAGCGCTTTGAGGCCTATGGTAGTAAAGGGAATAGCTTCATAGAAAAACTAGACAGATGCATTCTCAGGAACCTTTTGGTGATGTTTGTATTCAACTCCCAGAGTTGAACTTTCCTTTGGAAAGAGCAGCTATGAAACACTCTTTTTCTAGAATCTGCAAGTGGACGTTTGGAGGGCTTTGTGGTTTGTGGTGGAAAAGGAAATATCTTCACCTAAATACTAGATAGAAGCATTCTCAGAAGCTTCTCTGTGATGACTGCATTCAACTCACGGAGTTGAACACTCCTTTTGAGAGCGCAGTTTTGAAACTCTCTTTCTGTGGCATCTGCAAGGGGACATGTAGACCTCTTTGAAGATTTCGTTGGAAACGGAATTCATCTTCACATAAAAACTATACAGAAGCAGTCTCAGAATCTTCTTTGTGATGTTTGCATTCAAATCCCAGAGTTGAACTTTCCTTTCAAAGTTCACGTTTGAAACACTCTTTTTGCAGGATCTACAAGTGGATATTTGGACCACTCTGTGTCCTTCGTTCGAAACGGGTATATCTTCACACGACATCTAGACAGAAGCTTTCTCAGAAAATTCTTTGGGATGATTGAGTGGAACTCACAGAGCTGAACATTCCTTGCGATGTAGCAGTTTAGAAACACACTTTCTGCAGAATCTGCAAGTGCATATTTGGACCTCTCTGAGGAATTCGTTGGAAACGGGATAATTTCAGCTGACTAAACAGAAGCATTCTCAGAACCTTCTTCGTGATGTCTGCATTCAACTCACAGTGTGGAACCTTTCATTGATAGTTCAGGTTTGAAACACTCTTTTTGTAGAAACTGCAAGGGGATAATTGCACTTCTTTGAGGCCTACCGTAGTAAAGGAAATAACTTCCTATAGAAAGAAGACAGAAGAATTCTCAGAGCCCTCTTCGTGATGTTTGCATTCAACTCACAGTGCTGAACCTTTCTTTGATAGTGCAGCTTTGAAACACTCTTTTTGTAGAAACTGCAAGTGGATGTTTGGTCCTCTCTGAGGATTTCGTTGGAAACGGGATAAACCGCACAGAACTAAAACAGAAGCATTCTCAGAACCTTCTTCGTGATGTTTGCATTCAACTCACAGTGTTGAACCTTTCTTTGATAGTTCAGGTTTGAAACGGTCTTTCTGTAGAAACTGCAAGTAGATATTTGGACCTCTCTGAGGATTTCGTTGGAAACGGGATAACCCGCACAGAACTAAAACAGAAGCATTCACAGAAAACTCTTGGTGACGACTGAGTTTAACTCACAGAGCTGAACATTCCTTTGGATGGAGCAGTTTCGAAACACACTATTTGTAGAATCTGCAAGTGGATATTTGGGCCTCTCTGAGGATTTCGATGGAAACGGGATAAACCGCACAGAACTAAAACAGAAGCATTCTCAGAAACTACTTTGTGATGATTGCATTCAAGTCACAGAGTTGAACATTCCCTTTGACAGAGCAGTTTGGAAACTCTCTTTGTGTAGAATCTGCAAGTGGAGATATGGACCGCTTTGAGGCCTATGGTAGTAAAGGAAATAGCTTCATATAAAAGCTAGACAGTAGCATTCTCAGAAACTTCTTTGTGATGCTTGCATTCAACTCACAGAGTTGAACTTTCCTTTCGAGAGAGAAGCTTTGAAACACTCTTTTTCCAGAATCTGCAAGTGGACATTTGGAGGGCTTTGAGGCCTGTGGTGGAAAAGGAATTAACTTCCCTTAAAAGCTAGATAGAAGCATTGTCAGAAACTTCTTTGTGATGATTGCATTCAACTCACAGAGTTGAAGGTTCCTTTTCAAAGAGCAGTTTCCAATCACTCTTTGTGTGGAATCTGCAAGTGGATATTTGGACCTATTTTGAAGATTTCGTTGGAAACGGGAGAATCTTCACAGGAAAGCTAAACAGAAGCATTCTCAGAAACTTCTCTGTGATGTTTGTGTTCAACTCCCAGAGTTTCACGTTGCTTTTCATAGAGTAGTTCTGAAACATGCTTTTCGTAGTGTCTGCAAGTGGACATTTGGAGCGCTTTCAGGCCTGTGGTGGAAAACGAATTATGGTCACATAAAAACTGGAGAGAAGCCTTCTCAGAAACTTCTCTGTGATGATTGCATTCAACTCACAGATTTGAACCCTCCTATGGATAGAGCATTGTTGAAACTCTCTTTTTGTGGAATCTGCAAGTGGATATGTGGACCTCTCCGAAGATGTCTTTGGAAACGGGAATATCTTCACATAAAAACTAAACAGAAGCATTCTCAGAAACTTCTTGGTGATGTTTGCATTCAAATCCCAGAGTTGAACCTTCCTTTGATAGTTCAGGTTTGAAACACTCTTTCTGTAGGATCTGCAAGTGGCTATGTGGACCACTCTGTGGCCTTCGTTCGAAACGGGTATATCTTCGCATAAAATCTAGACAGAAGCATTCTCAGAAAATACTTTGTGATGATTGAGTTGAACTCACAGAGCTGAACATTCCTTTGGATGGAGCAGGTTTGAGACACACTTTTTGTAGAATCTACAAGTGGATATTTGGACCTCTCTGAGGATTTCGTTGGAAACGGGATAACTGCACCTAACTAAACGGAAGCATTCTCAGAAACTGCTTTGTGATGATTGCATTCACCTCACAGAGTTGAACATTCCTATTGATAGAGCAGTTTGGAAACACTCTTGTTGTGGAATGTGCAAGTGGAGATTTGGAGCGCTTTGAGGCCTGTGGTAGTAAAGGGAATAGCTTCATAGAAAAACTAGACAGATGCATTCTCAGGAACTTTTTGGTGATGTTTGTATTCAACTCCCAGAGTTGAACTTTCCTTTGGAAAGAGCAGCTATGAAACACTCTTTTTCTAGAATCTGCAAGTGGACGTTTGGAGGGCTTTGTGGTTTGTGGTGGAAAAGGAAATATCTTCACCTAAATACTAGATAGAAGCATTCTCAGAAGCTTCTCTGTGATGACTGCATTCAACTCACGGAGTTGAACACTCCTTTTGAGAGCGCAGTTTTGGAACTCTCTTTCTGTGGCATCTGCAAGGGGACATGTAGACCTCTTTGAAGATTTCGTTGGAAACGGAATCATCTTCACATAAAAACTATACAGAAGCAGTCTCAGAATCTTCTTTGTCATGTTTGCATTCAAATCCCAGAGTTGAACTTTCCTTTCAAAGTTCACGTTTGAAACACTCTTTTTGCAGGATCTACAAGTGGATATTTGGACCACTCTGTGTCCTTCGTTCGTAACGGGTATATCTTCACATGACA
This sequence comes from Homo sapiens, assembly GCF_000001405.40. Taxonomy (NCBI): domain Eukaryota; kingdom Metazoa; phylum Chordata; class Mammalia; order Primates; family Hominidae; genus Homo; species Homo sapiens. The sequence continues at coordinate 26,554,404 of NC_000017.11, forward strand.
TCTAGACAGAAGCTTTCTCAGAAAATTCTTTGGGAAGATTGAGTTGAACTCACAGAGCTGAACAGTCCTTGCGATGGAGCAGTTTAGAAACACACTTTCTGCAGAATCTGCAAGTGCATATTTGGACGTCTCTGAGGAATTCGTTGGAAACGGGATAATTTCAGCTGACTAAACAGAAGCATTCTCAGAACCTTCTTCGTGATGTCTGCATTCAACTCACAGTGTCGAACCTTTCTTTGATAGTTCAGGTTTGAAACACTCTTTTTGTAGAAACTGCAAGGGGATAATTGCACTTCTTTGAGGCCTACCGTAGTAAAGGAAATAACTTCCTATAAAAAGAAGACAGAAGCATTCTCAGAACCCTCTTCGTGATGTTTGCATTCAACTCACAGTGCTGAGCCTTTCTTTGATAGTTCAGCTTTGAAACACTCTTTTTGTAGAAACTGCAAGTGGATATTTGGTCCTCTCTGAGGATTTCGTTGGAAAAGGGATAAACCGCACAGAACTAAACAGAAGCATTCACAGAAAACTCTTGGTGACGACTGAGTTTAACTCACAGAGCTGAACATTCCCTTGGTTGAAGCAGTTTCGAAACACACTCTTTGTAGAATCTGCAGGTGGATATTTGGGCCTCTCTGAGGATTTCGTTGGAAACGGGATAAACCGCACAGAACTAAAACAGAAGCATTCTCAGAAACTACTTTGTGATGTTTGCATTCAAGTCACAGAGCTGAACATTCCCTTTGACGGAGCAGTTTGGAAACTCTCTTTGTGTAGAATCTGCAAGTGGAGATATGGAATGCTTTGAGGACTATGGTAGTAAAGGGAATAGCTTCATATAAAAGCTAGACAGTAGCATTCTCAGAAACTTCTTTGTGATGCTTGCATTCAACTCACAGAGTTGAACATTCCTTTCGAGAGAGAAGCTTTGAAACACTCTTTTTCCAGAATCTGCAAGGGGACATTTGGAGGGCTTTGAGGCCTGTGGTGGAAAAGGAATTACCTTCCCGTAAAAGCTAGATAGAAGCATTGTCAGAAACTTCTTTGTGATGATTGCATTCAACTCACAGAGTTGAAGGTTCCTTTTCAAACAGCAGTTTCCAAACACTCTTTCTGTGGAATCTGCAAGTGGATATTTGGACGTCTTTGAAGATTTCGTTGGAAAAGGGATAATCTTCACAGAAAAGCTAAACAGAAGCATTCTCAGAAACTTCTCTGTGATGTTTGTGTTCAACTCCCAGAGTTTCACATTGCTTTTCATAGAGTAGTTCTGAAACATGCTTTTCGTAGTGTCTACAAGTGGACATTTGGAGCGCTTTCAGGCCTGTGGTGGAAAACGAATTATGGTCACATAAAAACTGGAGAGAAGCCTTCTCAGAAACTTCTCTGTGATGATTGCATTCAACTCACAGAGTTGAACCCTCCTATGGATAGAGCAGTGTTGAAACTCTCTTTTTGTGGAATCTGCAAGTGGATATGTGGACCTCTCCGAAGATGTCTTTGGAAACGGGAATATCTTCACATAAAAACTAAACAGAAGCATTCTCAGAAACTTCTTGGTGATGTTTGCATTCAAATCCCAGAGTTGAACCTTCCTTTGATAGTTCAGGTTTGAAACACTCTTTTTGTAGGATCTGCAAGTGGCTATTTGGACCACTCTGTGGCCTTCGTTCGAAACGGGTATATACTTCGCATAAAATCTAGACAGAAGCATTCTCAGAAAATACTTTGTGATGATTGAGTTTAAATCACAGAGCTGACCATTCCTTTGGATGGAGCAGGTTTGAGACACACTTTTTGTAGAATCTACAAGTGGATATTTGGACCTCTCTGAGGATTTCGTTGGAAACGGGATAACTGCACCTAACTAAACGGAAGCATTCTCAGAAACTGCTTTGTGATGATTGCATTCACCTCACAGAGTTGAACATTCCTATTGATAGAGCAGTTTGGAAACACTCTTGTTGTGGAATGTGCAAGTGGAGATTTGGAGCGCTTTGAGGCCTATGGTAGTAAAGGGAATAGCTTCATAGAAAAACTAGACAGATGCATTCTCAGGAACTTTTTGGTGATGTTTGTATTCAACTCCCAGAGTTGAACTTTCCTTTGGAAAGAGCAGCTATGAAACACTCTTTTTCTAGAATCTGCAAGTGGACGTTTGGAGGGCTTTGTGGTTTGTGGTGGAAAAGGAAATATCTTCACCTAAATACTAGATAGAAGCATCCTCAGAAGCTTCTCTGTGATGACTGCATTCAACTCACGGAGTTGAACACTCCTTTTGAGAGCGCAGTTTTGAAACTCTCTTTCTGTGGCATCTGCAAGGGGACATGTAGACCTCTTTGAAGATTTCGTTGGAAACGGAATCATCTTCACATAAAAACTATACAGAAGCAGTCTCAGAATCTTCTTTGTGATGTTTGCATTCAAATCCCAGAGTTGAACTTTCCTTTCAAAGTTCACGTTTGAAACACTCTTTTTGCAGGATCTACAAGTGGATATTTGGACCACTCTGTGTCCTTCGTTCGAAACGGGTATATCTTCACACGACATCTAGACAGAAGCTTTCTCAGAAAATTCTTTGGGATGATTGAGTGGAACTCACAGAGCTGAACATTCCTTGCGATGTAGCAGTTTAGAAACACACTTTCTGCAGAATCTGCAAGTGCATATTTGGACCTCTCTGAGGAATTCGTTGGAAACGGGATAATTTCAGCTGACTAAACAGAAGCATTCTCAGAACCTTCTTCGTGATGTCTGCATTCAACTCACAGTGTGGAACCTTTCTTTGATAGTTCAGGTTTGAAACACTCTTTCTGTAGAAACTGCAAGGGGATAATTGCACTCTTTGAGGAGTACCGTAGTAAAGGAAATAACTTCCTATAAAAAGAAGACAGAAGCATTCTCAGAACCCTCTTCGTGATGTTTGCATTCAACTCACAGTGCTGAACCTTTCTTTGATAGTTCAGCTTTGAAACACTCTTCTTGTAGAAACTGCAAGTGGATATTTGGTCCTCTCTGAGGATTTCGTTGGAAACGGGATAAACCGCACAGAACTAAACAGAAGAATTCTCAGAGCCCTCTTCGTGATGTTTGCATTCAACTCACAGTGCTGAACCTTTCTTTGATAGTGCAGCTTTGAAACACTCTTTTTGTAGAAACTGCAAGTGGATATTTGGTCCTCTCTGAGGATTTCGTTGGAAACGGGATAAACCGCACAGAACTAAAACAGAAGAGCATTCACAGAAAACTCTTGGTGACGACTGAGTTTAACTCACAGAGCTGAACATTCCTTTGGATGGAGCAGTTTCGAAACACAATATTTGTAGAATCTGCAAGTGGATATTTGGGCCTCTCTGAGGATTTCGTTGGAAACGGGGTAAAACGCACAGAACTAAAACAGAAGCATTCTCAGAAACTACTTTGTGATGATTGCATTCAAGTCACAGAGTTGAACATTCCCTTTGACAGAGCAGTTTGGAAACTCTCTTTGTGTAGAATCTGCAAGTGGAGATATGGACCGCTTTGAGGCCTATGGTAGTAAAGGAAATAGCTTCATATAAAAGCTAGACAGTAGCATTCTCAGAAACTTCTTTGTGATGCTTGCATTCAACTCACAGAGTTGAACTTTCCTTTCGAGAGAGAAGCTTTGAAACACTCTTTTTCCAGAATGTGCAAGTGGACATTTTGGGAGCTTTGAGGCCTGTGGAGGAAAAGGAATTATCTTCCCGTAAAAGCTAGATAGAAGCATTGTCAGAAACTTCTTTGTGATGATTGCATTCAACTCACAGAGTTGAAGGTTCCTTTTCAAACAGCAGTTTCCAATCACTCTTTCTGTGGAATCTGCAAGTGGATATTTGGGCCTCTCTGAGGATTTCGTTGGAAACGGGATAAAACGCACAGAACTAAAACAGAAGCATTCTCAGTAAACTTCTCTGTGATGTTTGTGTTCAACTCCCAGAGTTTCACATTGCTTCTCATAGAGTAGTTCTGAAACATGCTTTTCGTAGTGTCTGCAAGTGGTCATTTGGAGCGCTTTCCGGCCTGTGGTGGAAAACGAATTATGGTCACATAAAAACTGGAGAGAAGCCTTCTCAGAAACTTCTCTGTGATGATTGCATTCAACTCACAGAGTTGAACCCTCCTATGGATAGAGCAGTGTTGAAACTCTCTTTTTGTGGAATCTGCAAGTGGATATGTGGACCTCTCCGAAGATGTCTTTGGAAACGGGAATATCTTCACATAAAAACTAAACAGAAGCATTCTCAGAAACTTCTTGGTGATGTTTGCATTCAAATCCCAGAGTTGAACCTTCCTTTGATAGTTCAGGTTTGAAACACTCTTTTTGTAGGATCTGCAAGTGGCTATTTGGACCACTCTGTGGCCTTCGTTCGAAACGGGTATATCTTCGCATAAAATCTAGACAGAAGCATTCTCAGAAAATACTTTGTGATGATTGAGTTTAACTCACAGAGCTGAACATTCCTTTGGATGGAGCAGGTTTGAGACACACCTTTTGTAGAATCTACAAGTGGATATTTGGACCTCTCTGAGGATTTCGTTGGAAACGGGATAACTGCACCTAACTAAACGGAAGCATTCTCAGAAACTGCTTTGTGATGATTGCATTCACCTCACAGAGTTGAACATTCCTATTGATAGAGCAGTTTGGAAACACTCTTGTTGTGGAATGTGCAAGTGGAGATTTGGAGCGCTTTGAGGCCTATGGTAGTAAAGGGAATAGCTTCATAGAAAAAATAGACAGATGCATTCTCAGGAACTTTTTGGTGATGATTGTATTCAACTCCCAGAGTTGAACTTTCCTTTGGAAAGAGCAGCTATGAAACACTCTTTTTCTAGAATCTGCACGTGGACGTTTGGAGGTCTTTGTTGTTTGTGGTGGAAAACGAAATATCTTCACCTAAATACTAGATAGAAGCATTCTCAGAAGCTTCTCTGTGATGACTGCATTCAACTCACGGAGTTGAACACTCCTTTTGAGAGCGCAGTTTTGAAACTCTCTTTCTGTGGCATCTGCAAGGGGACATGTAGACCTCTTTGAAGATTTCGTTGGAAACGGAATCATCTTCACATAAAAACTATACAGAAGCAGTCTCAGAATCTTCTTTGTGATGTTTGCATTCAAATCCCAGAGTTGAACTTTCCTTTCAAAGTTCACGTTTGAAACACTCTTTTTGCAGGATCTACAAGTGGATATTTGGACCACTCTGTGTCCTTCGTTCGAAACGGGTATATCTTCACACGACATCTAGACAGAAGCTTTCTCAGAAAATTCTTTGGGATGAGTGAGTGGAACTCACAGAGCTGAACATTCCTTGCGATGTAGCAGTTTAGAAACACACTTTCTGCAGAATCTGCAAGTGCATATTTGGACCTCTCTGAGGAATTCGTTGGAAACGGGATAATTTCAGCTGACTAAACAGAAGCATTCTCAGAACCTTCTTCGTGATGTCTGCATTCAACTCACAGTGTGGAACCTTTCTTTGATAGTTCAGGTTTGAAACACTCTTTTTGTAGAAACTGCAAGGGGATAATTGCACTTCTTTGAGGCCTACCGTAGTAAAGGAAATAACTTCCTATATAAAGAAGACAGAAGCATTCTCAGAACCCTCTTCGTGATGTTTGCATTCAACTCACAGTGCTGAACCTTTCTTTGATAGTTCAGCTTTGAAACACTCTTCTTGTAGAAACTGCAAGTGGATATTTGGTCCTCTCTGAGGATTTCGTTGGAAACGGGATAAACCGCACAGAACTAAACAGAAGCATTCTCAGAACCTTCTTCGTGATGTTTGCATTCAACTCACAGTGTTGAACCTTTCTTTGATAGTTCAGGTTTGAAACGGTCTTTCTGTAGAAACTGCAAGTAGATATTTGGACCTCTCTGAGGATTTCGTTGGAAACGGGATAAACCGCACAGAACTAAAACAGAAGCATTCACAGAAAACTCTTGGTGACGACTGAGTTTAACTCACAGAGCTGAATATTCCTTTGGATGGAGCAGTTTCGAAACACACTATTTCTAGAAGGTGCAAGTGGATATGTGGGCCTCTCTGAGGATTTCGTTGGAAACGGGATAAACCGCACAGAACTAAACAGAAGCATTCTCAGAAACTACTTTGTGATGATTGCATTCAAGTCACAGAGTTGAACATTCCCTTTGACAGAGCAGTTTGGAAACTCTCTTTGTGTAGAATCTGCAAGTGGAGATATGGACCGCTTTGAGGCCTATGGTAGTAAAGGAAATAGCTTCATATAAAAGCTAGACAGTAGCATTCTCAGAAACTTCTTTGTGATGCTTGCATTCAACTCACAGAGTTGAACTTTCCTTTCGAGAGAGAAGCTTTGAAACACTCTTTTTCCAGAATCTGCAAGTGGACATTTGGAGGGCTTTGAGGCCTGTGGTGGAAAAGGAATTATCTTCCCGTAAAAGCTAGATAGAAGCATTGTCAGAAACTTCTTTGTGATGATTGCATTCAAGTCACAGAGTTGAAGGTTCCTTTTCAAAGAGCAGTTTCCAATCACTCTTTCTGTGGAATCTGCAAGTGGATATTTGGACCTCTTTGAAGATTTCGTTGGAAACGGGAGAATCTTCACAGAAAAGCTAAACAGAAGCATTCTCAGAAACTTCTCTGTGATGTTTGTGTTCAACTCCCAGAGTTTCACGTTGCTTTTCATAGAGTAGTTCTGAAACATGCTTTTCGTAGTGTCTGCAAGTGGACATTTGGAGCGCTTTCAGGCCTGTGGTGGAAAACGAATTATGGTCACATAAAAACTGGAGAGAAGCCTTCTCAGAAACTTCTCTGTGATGATTGCATTCAACTCACAGAGTTGAACCCTCCTATGGATAGAGCAGTGTTGAAACTCTCTTTTTGTGGAATCTGCAAGTGGATATGTGGACCTCTCCGAAGATGTCTTTGGAAACGGGAATATCTTCACATAAAAACTAAACAGAAGCATTCTCAGAAACTTCTTGGTGATGTTTGCATTCAAATCCCAGAGTTGAACCTTCCTTTGATAGTTCAGGTTTGAAACACTCTTTTTGTAGGATCTGCAAGTGGATATTTGGAACACTCTGTGGCCTTCGTTCGAAACGGGTACATCTTCGCATAAAATCTAGACAGAAGCATTCTCAGAAAATACTTTGTGATGATTGAGTTGAACTCACAGAGCTGAACATTCCTTTGGATGGAGCAGGTTTGAGACACACTATTTGTAGAATCTACAAGTGGATATTTGGACATCGCTGAGGATTTCGTAGGAAAAGGGATAACTGCACCTAACTAAACGGAAGCATTCTCAGAAACTGCTTTGTGATGATTGCATTCACCTCAAAGAGTTGAACATTACTATTGATAGAGCAGTTTGGAAACACTCTTCTTTTGGAATGTGCAAGTGGAGATTTGGAGCGCTTTGAGGCCTATGGTAGTAAAGGGAATAGCTTCATAAAAAACTAGACAGATGCATTCTCAGGAACTTTTTGGTGATGTTTGTATTCAACTCCCAGAGTTGAACTTTCCTTTGGAAAGAGCAGCTATGAAACACTCTTTTTCTAGAATCTGCAAGTGGACGTTTGGAGGGCTTTGTGGTTTGTGGTGGAAAAGGAAATATCTTCACCTAAATACTAGATAGAAGCATTCTCAGAAGCTTCTCTGTGATGACTGCATTCAACTCACGGAGTTGAACACTCCTTTTGAGAGCGCAGTTTTGAAACTCTCTTTCTGTGGCATCCGCAAGGGGACATGTAGACCTCTTTGAAGATTTCGTTGGAAACGGAATCATCTTCACATCAAAACTATGCAGAAGCAGTCTCAGAATCTTCTTTGTGATGTTTGCATTCAAATCCCAGAGTTGAACTTTCCTTTCAAAGTTCACGTTTGAAACACTCTTTTTGCAGGATCTACAAGTGGATATTTGGACCACTCTGTGTCCTTCGTTCGAAACGGGTATATCTTCACACGACATCTAGACAGAAGCTTTCTCAGAAAATTCTTTGGAATGATTGAGTGGAACTCACAGAGCTGAACATTCCTTGCGATGTAGCAGTTTAGAAACACACTTTCTGCAGAATCTGCAAGTGCATATTTGGACCTCTCTGAGGAATTCGTTGGAAACGGGATAATTTCAGCTGACTAAACAGAAGCATTCTCAGAACCTTCTTCGTGATGTCTGCATTCAACTCACAGTGTGGAACCTTTCTTTGATAGTTCAGGTTTGAAACACTCTTTTTGTAGAAACTGCAAGGGGATAATTGCACTTCTTTGAGGCCTACCGTAGTAAAGGAAATAACTTCCTATAGAAAGAAGACAGAAGAATTCTCAGAGCCCTCTTCGTGATGTTTGCATTCAACTCACAGTGCTGAACCTTTCTTTGATAGTGCAGCTTTGAAACACTCTTTTTGTAGAAACTGCAAGTGGATGTTTGGTCCTCTCTGAGGATTTCGTTGGAAACGGGATAAACCGCACAGAACTAAAACAGAAGCATTCTCAGAACCTACTTCGTGATGTTTGCATTCAACTCACAGTGTTGAACCTTTCTTTGATAGTTCAGGTTTGAAACGGTCTTTCTGTAGAAACTGCAAGTAGATATTTGGACCTCTCTGAGGATTTCGTTGGAAAAGGGATAAACCGCTCAGAACTAAAACAGAAGCATTCACAGAAAACTCTTGGTGACGACTGAGTTTAACTCACAGAGCTGAACATTCCTTTGGATGGAGCAGTTTCGAAACACACTATTTGTAGAATGTGCAAGTGGATATTTAGGCCTCTCTGAGGATTTCGTTGGAAACGGGATAAACCGCACAGAACTAAACAGAAGCATTCTCAGAAACTACTTTGTGATGATTGCATTCAAGTCACAGAGTTGAACATTCCCTTTGACAGAGCAGTTTGGAAACTCTCTTTGTGTAGAATCTGCAAGTGGAGATATGGACCGCTTTGAGGCCTATGGTAGTAAAGGAAATAGCTTCATATAAAAGCTAGACAGTAGCATTCTCAGAAACTTCTTTGTGATGCTTGCATTCAACTCACAGAGTTGAACTTTCCTTTCGAGAGAGAAGCTTTGAAACACTCTTTTTCCAGAATCTGCAAGTGGACATTTGGAGGGCTTTGAGGCCTGTGGTGGAAAAGGAATTATCTTCCCGTAAAAGCTAGATAGAAGCATTGTCAGAAACTTCTTTGTGATGATTGCATTCAACTCACAGGAGTTGAAGGTTCCTTTTCAAACAGCAGTTTCCAATCACTCTTTCTGTGGAATCTGCAAGTGGATATTTCGACCTCTTTGAAGATTTCGTTGGAAACGGGAGAATCTTCACAGAAAAGCTAAACAGAAGCATTCTCAGAAACTTCTCTGTGATGTTTGTGTTCAACTCCCAGAGTTTCACATTGCTTTTCATAGAGTAGTTCTGAAACATGCTTTTCGTAGTGTCTGCAAGTGGACATTTGGAGCGCTTTCAGGCCTGTGGTGGAAAACCGAATTATGGTCACATAAAAACTGGAGAGAAGCCTTCTCAGAAACTTCTCTGTGATGATTGCATTCAACTCACAGAGTTGAACCCTCCTATGGATAGAGCATTCTTGAAACTCTCTTTTTGTGGAATCTGCAAGTGGATATGTGGACCTCTCCGAAGATGTCTTTGGAAACGGGAATATCTTCACATAAAAACTAAACAGAAGCATTCTCAGAAACTTCTTGGTGATGTTTGCATTCAAATCCCAGAGTTGAACCTTCCTTTGATAGTTCAGGTTTGAAACACTCTTTTTGTAGGATCTGCAAGTGGATATTTGGACCACTCTGTGGCCTTCGTTCGAAACGGGTATATCTTCGCATAAAATCTAGACAGAAGCATTCTCAGAAAATACTTTGTGATGATTGAGTTTAACTCACAGAGCTGAACATTCCTTTGGATGGAGCAGGTTTGAGACACACTTTTTGTAGAATCTACAAGTGGATATTTGGACCTCTCTGAGGATTTCGTTGGAAACGGGATAACTGCACCTAACTAAACGGAAGCATTCTCAGAAACTACTTTGTGATGATTGCATTCACCTCAGAGAGTTGAACATTCCTATTGGGAGAGCAGTTTGGAAACACTCTTGCTGTAGAATCTGCAAGTGGAGATTTGGAGTGCTTTGAGGCCTATGGTAGTAAAGGGAATAGCTTCATATAAAAACTAGACAGAAGCATTCTCAGGAACCCCTTGGTGCTGATTGTATTCAACTTCCAGAGTTGAACTTTCCTTCGGAAAGAGCAGCTATGAAACACTCTTTTTCTAGAATCTGCAAGTGGATATTTGGAGGGCTTTGAGGTTTGTGGTGGAAAAGGAAATATCTTCACATAAATACTAGATGGAAGCATCCTCAGAAGCTTCTCTGTGATGACTGCATTCAACTCACGGAGTTGAACACTCCTTTTGAGAGCGCAGTTTTGAAACTCTCTTTCTGTGGCATCTGCAAGGGGACATGTAGACCTCTTTGAAGATTTACTTTGGAAACGGAATCATCTTCACATAAAAACTATACAGAAGCAGTCTCAGAATCTTCTTTGTGATGTTTGCATTCAAATCCCAGATTTGAACTTTCCTTTCAAAGTTCAGGTTTGAAACCCTCTTTTTGCAGGATCTACAAGTGGATATTTGGACCACTCTGTGGCCTTCGTTCGAAACGGGTATATCTTCACATGACATCTAGACAGAAGCTTTCTCAGAAAATTCTTTGGGATGATTGAGTGGAACTCACAGAGCTGAACATTCCTTGCGATGTAGCAGTTTAGAAACACACTTTCTGCAGAATCTGCAAGTGCATATTTGGACCTCTCTGAGGAATTCGTTGGAAACGGGATAATTTCAGCTGACTAAACAGAAGCATTCTCAGAACCTTCTTCGTGATATCTGCATTCAACTCACAGTGTGGAACCTTTCTTTGATAGTTCAGGTTTGAAACACTCTTTTTGTAGAAACTGCAAGGGGATCATTGCACTTCTTTGAGGCCTACCGTAGTAAAGGAAATAACTTCCTATAAAAAGAAGACAGAAGCATTCTCAGAACCCTCTTCGTGATGTTTGCATTCAACTCACGGTGCTGAACCTTTCTTTGATAGTTCAGCTTTGAAACACTCTTTTTGTAGAAACTGCAAGTGGATATTTGGTCCTCTCTGAGGATTTCGTTGGAAACGGGATAAACCGCACAGAACTAAACAGAAGAATTCTCAGAACCCTCTTCGTGATGTTTGCATTCAACACACAGTGCTGAACCTTTCTTTGATAGTTCAGCTTTGAAACACTCTTTTTGTAGAAACTGCAAGTGGATATTTGGTCCTCTCTGAGGATTTCGTTGGAAACGTGATAAACCGCACAGAACTAAACAGAAGCATTCACAGAAAACTCTTGGTGACGTCTGAGTTTGACTCACAGAGCTGAACATTCCTTTGGATGGAGCAGTTTCGAAACACACTCTTTGTAGAATCTGCAAGTGGATATTTAGGCCTCTCTGAGGATTTCGTTGGAAATGGGATAAACCGCACAGAACTAAAACAGAAGCATTCTCAGAAACTACTTTGTGATGATTGCATTCAAGTCACAGAGTTGAACATTCCCTTTGACAGAGCAGTTTGGAAACTCTCTTTGTGTAGAATCTGCAAGTGGAGATATGGACCGCTTTGAGGCCTATGGTAGTAAAGGAAATAGCTTCATATAAAAGCTAGACAGTAGCATTCTCAGAAACTTCTTTGTGATGCTTGCATTCAACTCACAGAGTTGAACTTTCCTTTCGAGAGAGAAGCTTTGAAACACTCTTTTTCCAGAATCTGCAAGTGGACATTTGGAGGGCTTTGAGGCCTGTGGTGGAAAAGGAATTAACTTCCCGTAAAAGCTAGATAGAAGCATTGTCAGAAACTTCTTTGTGATGATTGCATTCAACTCACAGAGTTGAAGGTTCCTTTTCAAACAGCAGTTTCCAATCACTCTTTCTGTGGAATCTGCAAGTGGATATTTGGGCCTCTCTGAGGATTTCGTTGGAAACGGGATAAAACGCACAGAACTAAAACAGAAGCATTCTCAGAAACTTCTCTGTGATGTTTGTGTTCAACTCCCAGAGTTTCACATTGCTTTTCATAGAGTAGTTCTGAAACATGCTTTTCGTAGTGTCTACAAGTGGACATTTGGAGCGCTTTCAGGCCTGTGGTGGAAAACGAATTATGGTCACATAAAAACTGGAGAGA